>NC_000020.11:1884516-2036031 GCF_000001405.40 Homo sapiens
ACAAACCCATGCAAATAAATCCAAACGAATAGATACGGATCCAGAGTTACACAGATCAACACACTCCCAGGGGGACAACAGCACTCAGCTGTTAACATACCTCCAAATGAGAGTTGTCAGAATCCCCCTTCTCATCCCCATCTCCCACTCCCTCTCATTCATGGGACATTATTTAGGCCCACTCTGCACACAACCTGGCACTGGGCCCCTGGGAGATCCCAGGGCTCTGACACAGTGGAGTAAGGGGAGGAGCAGTTCAGTCAGCCCCCGGGAACTCAGAGGCAGCTAGAATACAGATAGGCACTGGGTTCAGGAAACCATTCCCAGAGCTGTACAAAATGGATTGCCTGGAAAGGTAGTGAGCTCCCCACCCCTGGAGGCAATCTAGTGCAACCAAGGGTTTTGGGCATCAGATGGGAGAGTGGGTGCCAGGGGAATTGAAGGCCTTTAAAATCTATTCCAGCCCTGAGAGTCTATTTCTATCAATTCCACTGGGCTTCAAAACAGTGGTCTTCAAAATTTTTTGTATCATATTCCCTATCAGTAAAAACATTTAAAACATGTATTCCTCAATGTATGTACATTTGATACTTTTTACAAATTTTTGTATATTTCTTTGTTATGTACTTCATAGAACACATACACAAAATAGAAAAATTTGAAAAATGAGATAAAGGTACATAGATCACTACTTTAAAGGACAGGTGAAACTGAAGGGAAAGTGATATAACATTTATGAAGTCCCTCCTGTGTGCCAGACTTTTGATATATATTATGCCTTTGAATCTTCAAATAGCTCTGTAAAGAAGCTGTCATGAGTTTTCCATTTTGCAGATGAGAAACTAAATGGCAAGACAAATAAAATCATTTCCCCACAGTCTTGCCACCTGTAGCTGCCACGGCTGGAATCTGGACCCAAGTAAGCTGGCTCCGGAGCCCACTGCCCACCCTGACCACTCCTATGTCATACAGGAAGCATGGAGCTGGGGAAAGACCCATTTGGTTTTTGGGGGCAACAGGCTGAGTGGAGGGGCTGCACGATTTGTCAAGAGCCCTGAATGACGGCCTTGAAGCCAAGCAGCAGGTATGATTCTCAAACCACAGGCACAGTTGGGCCAGATGTGGCCATTTCTTTCCTTTAAATCTTCACTGCTCAGAGTGCAGTCCAGGGACCAGCAGCTTCAACCTCACCTGGAAGTTTATCAGAAATGCAGAATCTTGGCCCCGCTACAAACCTACTAAGTCAGAATCTGCATTTAGCAAGAATAAAGTTTGAGAAGCCTCAAATTACTTAAACTCATCTGGTCTGTGAATGTATCCCATGGGGGTGACGTGAAGCAAGCCCAACCTTGGTCATTCTTGGGGCTCTCTCCTCTCCAGAGCCTGCTCAGATGCAGGGTCTTAGAGAGTCTCTGGACATTTGAGGTGGCTTCCAGGAATCTGTCCACACTGCTTGCCTGCAGCTCCTCGGCTCCTAATCCCGCAGTGGCTCCCATCTGGTTCTGAGTAAAAGCTGAAGGCCTCACCTTGGCCTGCACGGCCCAACAGACTGGACCCTGCTTCCTCTCTAACCTCATCTCCCGCCTCACTCCTGGCTAGTTTCCCGTTGCCTGGCTGCCCAGCTGCCCTTGAACTTGTCATCCCAGGGTCTTCCCGGGGTCTTTGCACTGGCCATTCCTTTCACCTGGTGTTCCTATGGCTCTCCTTCATACTTTCCTTAGGAAACTCCACTCCCTGAGTGAGACCTCCACTGCATAGAATAGCATCCCCTCCCCCCTAATTCATACATTTATCTTTCCATCTCCTCCACTAGAATGTGAATGCCTTGAGTGCAGGAACTGTGACTATCTCATTTCCAGCATCCAGCTGAGCCCCTGGCCATAGTAGATGCTCAATAAATATCTGTTGGCTGATGGAGGCCGTGCCCATTGTCCCACCCTAAGGGACACCCATCTCAGTCACCCTGTGGGGCTGTGGGGTCTTCCATGAGGGCAGAGGTCTTGAGACACAGTTATGGCTACCTGGAGCCACCGTGAGGCCTGCCCTGGAGGCCTTGTCCCCTCCCCAATCCTGCTGGCGTGGGGGCAGCACCCCCTGTCAGCCTGACCCCCTCCAGCTTCTCCAGTGTGCTTGCCCCCAATCTCTCCCAGTCTTTCCTGGGAATCTCTTTGGTTTTAGACTTTACTAAAGACTAAGGGGAGTTCATTTTTCTGCCTAAATCCCTGCAGTGCCTGTTTACTAAGCCCAACTATTTGCTTGAAGCTGAAGAGAAGAAACATAAAGAGGAAAAACAGACTAACATTTTCTAACTTGGCCTGTCATGCCTACAGGCCGTGAGAGCTCAGGCCACCCATTTCCCTTTCTGCGCCTCAGTCTCCTCATCTATTCCCAGAGATTCATGGGGATAGTTACCACCTTTTTTGCTGAAGAGGGAATGAGACACAGTGAGAAAGAAAACTATAATGGTGGAATTTCAAGTATGAACCAGCCAGGGTTGTAGGCGTTGGGGCAGCAGGGTGTGAGTTGGGAGTAAGGAGGGGGACTAAGGGATTTGCTATCAAAAGATCTGGGTTTATGGCCTTTCTGTGCCACTAAGTCAATATGTTGGTCAGGTAGAGCCTCTGTTTACTCATCTGTACAATAGGTATGGCACGGCTATGAGGCTCCCATCAGATACAGTCCAAAGGGCTCTGGGAGACTTCCCAATCCACTTCCCTCCTTGCTCCAGCAGCAGTGGCAGCATGAAGGCTGGTGTGGCCAACTGCTACCCAGAGGGCATGGTCCCAATCGGAAGCTGCAGCAGCAAAGACAGTGGTATGTGTTGTTTAGGCTTTCCCTGAGAGCCAAACCAGTTCCTGCCCAGGGATGGACACTTCCTTTCTCGGGTACAGGAATGAGGCCAACTAGAGTCTTGGCTTCCCTGCCCAGGAAAGCAGCCGGGGGAGTCCAACGAGGACACCTGTTCCTTCAGGAAACCCAAGCCAAGCCAGGCCCTCGGGTGGCGGAGCCTGAGCCCCTGGATCCAGCTGCCAGTGCCCTCATGGACAGAGCTGCATCCTGCTTCCTGTTTCCTGCTTCCTGCTCCTTCTTTCACTCTATCAGTAGTTTCTGCCTGAGGCCCTACTCTGTGTGGGCTCAGCTCCAGGTGCTAGGGAACAAAGGCAAAGAGCTCACATGGAGCTCAAAGATCAGTAGGAGAGCCACGCAACCAATCAAATGTATAACATTGATATGCTGTCAAGAAATGGAAATGCTATCAAAAAATAAAGTGGAGTAGGGAATAGGAAGTGATGGGACAGTTTTAGCTGAGTGGTCAGGACATGCTTCTCTGCAGAGGTGATATTTGAGCATAGACCCTAAGGAAGAGTCAGGGGCAAACTAGGCAGCTAGCTGGGGAAGAGGGTTCTTGGCACAGGGAACAGCCCGTGCAAAGGCCCTGAGGTAGGCACCTGCTGGGCATGTTCAAGGAATACTGAGATGGTGAATTAACTGGAGTGGAGTGAGCAAGGGGGAGAGTGTGGGGAGACCGGGTCAGTGAAGCAGGGGATCACAGGGGGCCTTTTGAGCTGCACTGAGAACTTCAGGTTTTACTCCAAGAGAAGGAGTGGAAGGCCATTGGGAGGCTTTTATTGAAGAAGCAACAAGGTGGGGAGTCCAGGAAGTACGGAGCCAGTGAGGAAGTGACTGCACTAATCCAGGTGAGAAATGAAGGTACTGGGACCGGAGTGTGATGCAGGTGGGAAGGAGTGGTTGGATTCTGGGTTTATTTTGAAGGTAGAGCCAAGAGGATTGGCTGGCAGGGAAGGAAGAGAAAGAGATAAGTCAAGGAGGGCACCAAGGTATTTTGCCTGAGGAACTGCACGAACAGACTGAGATGGAGCAGGCAACAAACATCATTCTCAGCTGCCATGCGTTGGTGCATATTTTCTCTGTCTCTCTCTCTCGTCTCTGTCTCTCGCTCTCCTCTTTATGCATTAATCCTGCCCTCACCTATTTTCAGATGAGAAAACTGAGGCTGAGACCCACTCGAGATCACACACATAGTGAGGGGCAGCGCCTGGAATTGCATGCATATCTCTTAGCCACTGAGCTACACTGTCCCATCAGAACTGGAGTTAGGGTCATCTGTTCATTCCTTATTTCATCCACCAGATCCTTGTGTGTCTAAGACCTTTTAGCAGGTCTGGTGCTGGGCACCTGAGAAGGACGTGGAAACCATCAGGACCTGGAAATCATCAAGCCAACACCTCAGTAGTGATGGAAACCCAGAGAGGGCACTGTGGGGCATCCCAAGCTCATCCTAAGCAAGTAGAAGTCAGAATGTGCAGAGGTCGGGAGCAGGGGATAGGGAATGAGAGCTCCTGGATTCAAAGCCTGGCTCTGGAGCTCTCAAGGTGTGGGCTCTTGGACAAGCTCCTTAAGTTCTCTGTGCCTCAGTTTTCTCATCTGTGAAATGGGGATAAGAATTGTGTCCACGTAAGATAATCACAGGGAGGCATCATGAGATAATGTGCTGAAACCCTTCAGGCCTGGGGCTTAACACACACTCCTATGTTTACCTGTGATTAGTACTATTAGGCAGTCAGCACTCAAACCCAGGTCTCTCCGTGATGGCTGAGGCAATCAGCTCTCTGCCCCTGCAACACCACCAGTACACCCACCCAGAGGTGTTGGGGAGGGCTCAGCTCTGGGTGGAGCTAGATCCCCAGAGCCTGAGAACAGTGTTTAGGGCCCGACAGTGTGGTCCCACCCCTTATGGGCTCCTATGAGCTGCCTGCCTGCCTGCCGAGTTGCTCAATCACTGACTTCCCCAGGAAAGCACTAATTACAGCAAAGCTCCCCTGGGTTCAGTGATCTGTCACAGCCCCTAGGCATCAGAGCACTGGCTACAGTCTCTACAGCAAGCGCTGTCCTGCCCTCTGCCTTCGCCCTAAGGGGAGGACAGAAACCACAGGGATGGACAGACTAACCAACACGGAAACTGGGGCCAGGCTTACAAAGGAGTCTCACCTTGGCTTGAATGGCAGTCTATTCAGCGGTTCTCAAAGTGTGATCCCTGAATCAGTAGCGTCAGTATCACCTGGGACCTTGTTAGAAATGCAGATTTTCAGACCTTACCTAAGGCCTACTGAATCAGACACTCCATGGCTAGGGCCCTGGAATCAGTGTTTTAACAATCCCTCCAGGGGCTATTGGTATCAGCTCACGTTGTAGAACCAAAGCTCTGATGCCTGTGCAGCTGTGGTTGGATGGAGGCCTGTGGAGAGGCGATTATGAAGTGGGATGGATTGAAGCACAGGTTCATAGAGACCCACCTTCAAATCCAGGCTGTGCCAATTCCTTACCCTGAGATTGGATCGTGGGCAGAGAGCTTCATTTATTTATTATTTTTACTTACTATTATTTTAGAGATAGGTTCTCACTCTGTTGCCCAGGCTGGAGTGCAGTGGAGCAATCATAGGTCACTGCAGCCTGGAACTCCTGGGCTCAAGCAATCCTCCCACCTCTGCCTCCCAAAGTGCTGGGATTACAGGTGTAAGCCACCATGCCCAGCCCAGTTTTTAAATTTAATACATATTTATTGACAACCTATTGTTTACTGTTAAAGACCCTGGAGCTACAGCTCTGGGACAAAACAATGGCAGCGGCCAACACTTAACCGATATTAACTCATTTAACCCTCACAAGAAACCTTTCAGGTAAGGTCCTATCATTACCCCGAAGGAAGCACAGATCATCAAAATAACTTGCCCCACGGGGCTAGTCTGAGAGACCGCTGGAGTGCAAGCCACTAGGATAAACTGACCTGGAGCTAGTTAGGGAGACAGACAAAATGCAGTGGAGACACACAATATTAGCAGGTCGTGATGCATGCTATGAAGATAAAATAGGGAAGAGGGTAGGGCATATTGGGCAGGCGTGAGGGTGACTACTTTAACAGGGTGGTCTGGCAAGGCCTCTCAAGGAGGTGGCGTGTGAGCAGAGGCCTCCTGAAGTCTCAGCTGCCTCATCTGTAGAATGAGGGAATGATTAGCTCACCCCCCCAGGTGTGGTATGAATGTCACAAGTCTGTAAAGCATAGTAGCTGCTGAACAGATGGGAATTGTTACTGTTTGGAAAACTGAGTTCAAATCCTGACTGGTCTGGCCACCCAGACAAAGGGCCTGTTGTGAACCTTGGAGATTACCCTTACTCTGTAAGGGCCGGAGGACATAGCAGGGGCTCGGTAAGGTCACTCCCATCTCCCATCCCCCCAACCCCACTTGCCTTCCAGCCTGGTGAGCAGCAACTCTTGGGGCAGTTGGTTCCCTGGTCCAGGCTGCCCAGGAGTCCGTGCTGTTTTTATTTTTATTGTTCTGGCTTCACAGCTGAGACCTCTAACTCCAAATGGCTCTTCTTGCCCAGAAAAATAGGTCGTTGGCAGCTCCAGCCTCCTGGCAGGCCTGCCTGCTGACGCCAGCCCAGGGTTACGGGAAGTGGGGAGCAGAGCGCGGGCAGGGCTGGAACCAGGTGAAGCTGGGCTGTGCAGGTGCCAGCGTGCCCCACAGGGTGGCCCTGGTCAAGTCGTGTTCTGTCTCTCAGTGTGTTTCCTCACCTCTGGGAACACCGCGGAGTTGCTGAGGCTTCAGTGAGATAATGTATCTCAAAGGACCTAGAACACACAAGGGTGTCATCTACCCCCCTGCAAAGGCCAAACTCCAGATAGGCCCTGCCATGCCATCGTGGCTGCTTTCACATCCTTGTCACTACTGACCCCTCGTATCAGAGTTTGTTATCCCTATTTCACAGATGAAAAGACTGAGGCTCAATTTTTTTTTTTGCCCAAGTTGCATAAGTCAAATTGGCAAAATCTTGGCTTCCAAGCCCCTGATCCTCTCCTTCTCATGCCCATTTGTCTTCTTCCCTTGACAACAGGGAAGGAATGTGATCTGACTTCTGTGCAAGGATTCCTCGGGCTGGTGAGTGAGGAATCGACAGAAGGCACAAGGTGGAAATAGGGCGCCCAGGTGAGAGCGGTGGAGGCTCAGACGAGGGCGGAAGCAGCGGAGGCGCTGAGAAGTGGTTTGGCCCTGGTTGTGATGAGAAGGCCCAGCAGGCAGGATTTGCTGACAGATTGTGCCCTCTAGGAGTAAGAGGAAGAGTCAAGCAGCAAAAGCAGGGATGCAACCACCCCTGGCTTCCCATCTCACCTCCTCGGTGAGACCTTCCTTGATCCGTTTTCAAAATTGCAATCTATCCCTCTCATCAGCACTCCTGGGCCTCTTCCCTGGCTAATTCCCCCCACCCCGTAGCACCTGTCCCATTTGACAAACTAAATAATTTACTTATCTTATCGGTTCGTTTCCTCCCACTAGAATGTCAGCTTCTTGAGGGCAGAGATTTTTATCTGTTTTCCAGCTGTTGCATTCCCAGTGCCTGGCACCTAGCAGATGCTTAATACTGTTGAGTGCGTGAGTGAACATGTGTGAAGGCAGTTAGATTTTAACGCAGGGCAGCACAGACCTCCTGCTGTGCGGGTGGCTGATTCATGTCAATTATCTGCCATAATCTCTCTGTGTGGCCTCAGACAAGTTGCCCCTCACATCAGTCTACCCATGGCCCGTGGGTCTCAATGGCTTCTCAGCCTTGAGGTTGGCCAAGGATGATTTTTATGTGGACAGAGAACAAGGGTCAGGGCCCCCTCCAGGGGGAGAGGTGAGGGAAGCCCTGCTGAGCGCCTTTGCCAAAGGTGCTATATATAAATAGCAGGTGGTTCAATTATTATCCTTCCCTAATCTCCAGTTTCCTAATCCCCCAGCAGGTTTGTGAGTGTGTATGTGTCTTGAGGAACAGTGAACAGCAGAGCCTTCTGGAAGTCCAGGGCAGGAGGCTGCCTCTTCTCTGACTTCATCAGCAGCCCCCATCTCCACTCCCACCCCAGATGGAGTCTGGTGACAGATTTTCCCAGGAGCCTCCCTGGTTACCTTCATGGTCTAGACCCGATGTGGCCTGAAGAGTTGGAGACCTTCCCTGCACCCACCTCAGATACCAGGATAACCCCAGAACAATCTTTCTCATTGGTGCCCAATTCCACGCTCCTCTCTCTCCAGTCCACCCTCCGCTTGCAGACTGGCCTTTTAGACACATAAATCAGACATGGCCCTCCCGTGCTGAAAACCCTCTAGGGGTCTCCCAACTGCAGAATAAACGCAGGCTCTTTACCCAGGTCTTGGAGACCATCCCACCCTCCCCAGTCCTGCATACTGCGCTTTCTCTCCTCCGGCCTAGCCACCTGGGGCCTTCCCCTCCTTGTGCTGGGCCCTCTTCCTGGAACACCTTTCTCCCCAAATCTTCGCCTTGCTGACCCTACTTGTGATTCAGCAACCCATGTCTCAGGGAGGTCTTACTGGCCCCCTTATCTAAATACGCTCACCCCTCTCCTTCTCTAAGTTCAATCTTCCGTTCTTCATTAATTATTTCTACTTGTCCACTTACCTGTCTCCCCTAGTAGAATATAAATTCCTCATGGACAGGGACCTCGTGCTCTCCCACACCCAGAGAAATGAAAATTCCCTTGCACTTCAAATGCTGCCCAGAACCCTGTGGGTTCTCAAGGACTGTTGTCAAACACTTCACTTATTTATCAAATGCTTATGTTGCACTTGGTATGTGCTAGGCTCTTTTTAACATGTCTTACAAATATTAACTCATCAAATCCTCACAATTGAGACTCACGCTGGCCTCGTCTCAGATGAAGAAGCTGAGGCACAGAAGAGGTAAGGCACTTTCCAGTCCACCCAGCTCATAACAGTAGCCGGGGGATTTGAACCCACGGAGTTCAGCCCATGTTCTCAAGTGTGGCACCTTCCCTGCCCCCCTGCACAACAGCAGGGCCATGCCTTCACCAGGAGGCTCGGGGCAGGAGGGGAGGCAGTGGTGTTACTTTGCACAGGTCTTTAACCTGGGAATCAGGAATTCAAATCTTGTTTCTACCCCAAGCTTTGCTGTGTGGCCTTAAGCAAACCTATTCCCTCTCCGGGCCTCAACTTTCTGTCCATTTACAGGGTTGGGCCTTCTCTCACCTTGTGTCATTCCTGTCCTCTTAACCGCCACTGTGTGAACCAAAATTCTCTCCCATTAGCAGCGGGGTCTTGAACTTGTGTTCCTCCCACAGTGCGGAGCCTTCTGCCAGGTGACCACGACACTGGCACTCCCCATCACTGACCTGGCTACTACAGGAACGGCGTTCCCTCCGGGAAAACCGGGGTTCTGTCCTCTCCAACTCCAGGCCTCTGGCCCCGGCTCCCCTTCCCCTCATCTTCCTCAGGGCTTGTCCTTCTCCCGGAACCCAGGCCTTCAGGGCCCCGCTCTCCCACACACGCCCCGGCCTGGGCCTCCCACCCGCCCAGTCCGCCCTCCACCACCGAGACACCTGGCCAGGGGGCCTCCACCTCCCTGGGAAGGCCCCGACCCTTCCCCTCTGGTTGCGCGCCACAGCCCCCTTCTCGCTCCCTCTCCTCCCCGCGCCTCTTTTCCAGGCGGCACCGAAGTCCTTCCTACACACACGCTATTTTTGTACCATCATCTCTTCTTCCTCTCCCCTTCCCCCTGCGTTCACTTACTTCCTTCTTTTCCTTCACCTCGGCCCGGCTCTGAAAGGATCGGGCCCCTCCGGCCCGCACCCACCCCCAAGAGGGGCCTTCAGCTTTGGGGCTCAGAGGCACGACCTCCTGGGGAGGGTTAAAAGGCAGACGCCCCCCCGCCCCCCGCGCCCCCGCGCCCCGACTCCTTCGCCGCCTCCAGCCTCTCGCCAGTGGGAAGCGGGGAGCAGCCGCGCGGCCGGAGTCCGGAGGCGAGGGGAGGTCGGCCGCAACTTCCCCGGTCCACCTTAAGAGGACGATGTAGCCAGCTCGCAGCGCTGACCTTAGAAAAACAAGTTTGCGCAAAGTGGAGCGGGGACCCGGCCTCTGGGCAGCCCCGGCGGCGCTTCCAGTGCCTTCCAGCCCTCGCGGGCGGCGCAGGTCCGGGCCCGGCAGGGACGGGGAGGGGCAGAGCGGGACCGGTCGGGGCTGGGGACCAGCCGCGCGGGCTTCTGAACGGGCACGCTGTCGGAGCCGGAGGCTCGTCTAGTCCCGAGCCCCAGCGGGCCGCGGCGGCTCGCGGGGCCGCCTTCCCGGGACAGCAGCCGGGGCCCGGGCGCCGGCGCGGGGGAGGACGCTGCCCTCCCCGGCCGGGCGCGCAGCTCGCAGCCCTCGCTCCCTCCCCCGGGGCGCGCAGGCGGGCGCTCGCTCGCAGAGAAGGTGCCGGCGGGGCCGGAGCCCCGAAGCCTCCCCGGGCGGCGGGAAGACGGGAGGAGGGGAAAGGGAAGGAGGGAGGGGGTCGGGCTGCCGGGAGGGCGGGGGCAGCGGCCGGGACTGCGGGCCGGGAGCGAGCCCAGCCGCCCGCGCCGTGTGGAGCCCGGGCGGGGCAGGTGGGCAGCGGCGGGGGCGGCTCCGCGCGGCCGGGCTCGGCCGTGCTGCCCCTCGCCCCTGCTCGCGCGGTCCTCTCTCCCGCGCGGTCTGTCGGTCTGCGCGCCGCCTCGCTCCTCGCTCCTCGCTCTCCCCCTCTTTCTCCCCCTCTCGCCTCTCCGTGTCTCTGGCTCTCTGCCTGGCTCCCTTGGGTCTGTTTCTCTCTCCTGCCGCCTCTCTCTGGCCGCCCCTGGCTTTATTTCTCGCGCGCTTGGGGTCTCTCCCAGTCTCCGTCTCTCCATTTCTCCTGGGGGGCGGGGAGGGGGGGTCTCCAAAAACCGCGGCGGCGGCGGCGGCCGCTCCAGGCGCCCGTTCCGGAGTCGGGGGGAGGCCCAGCCGGGAGGGGGGAAGGGGGGGAGCCTTAGTCATTTCCCCGCTCCAGCCTGCTCCCGCCCGAGCGCGCACTCACGGCCGCTCTCCCTCCTCGCTCCGCAGCCGCGGCCCATGGAGCCCGCCGGCCCGGCCCCCGGCCGCCTCGGGCCGCTGCTCTGCCTGCTGCTCGCCGCGTCCTGCGCCTGGTCAGGTAAGCACCCCCCCGCTCCCCACCGCTGCACTCCCCAAACTGCGGGCTCAGGCCTCTCAGACTGGCACTGGGACCCCTTCGGCTAATGCCGAGCAGTAATAGGGGGAGAGACGCCTGTAACCAGGGTTATAGATGCAGAAACTGAGGCCCAGAGAGGGCCAGCGACATGCCCAAGGTCACACAGCCAAGGGTAGAACCCAAGTCTCTTCTATGAGAGTTTGTCTCTGTGGACTCTGACTCTGTGCACTGTGCTGGGCACTGAGACAAAAGAGCCGAGTTGCTTCACTCAGCCCCTGCCCGGTCCAATGGGGAAGGCTGACTGACAGTGGCTTTCAGAGCAGGGCCGTCCGGCTTCCCCAGAATCTGTCCCCATGGACATACGACTTTCCACATGTTTGACTTCAGGGTGTGAGGGGAGGAGGTGAGGGCAGAGGTCCTCCCGATGCTGCCTGGAATGGAACAGAGACAAGCTGTTGCAATTAGGGAAGAGTGAGCCCTCCCTCTGGTGCGCAGAGTAAACCGGTGTTAGTGTGTGCCTGGGAGAGAGGGAGCCGGGAGGCCGCGGTAACCCCAGAGCGAGCTGCTGCGAGCAACAGATCCTTATGTAAAAACACGGTGGATTGTCCCTGTGGTTGCCAAAGCCTCTCCCTGGTGGTCTTGCTCCTTGAGGCGCTCCCAGCTCCCCCTTCCTCCTGCCTTCCCCGAGCTTCCAGGCAGCTCCCTGCAGTTCAGGTGCTCCGCGGGGATGTTACCTGTGGCTCTGACCATGTCTTTCTGTTGGCCTACATCAAACACCTGGCTGTCGCCGGCAGGCGGGCTCTGAAGGCTACTGTGCATGTTCACCAAAGGGTGAGGTCACCATTCAGGAGTCTTGCTTCTTAAATGGGTTTTGCAAAACCATGGGTCTCCTGGGAGGGCACCGGGTGGGGGGCGGGGGGAGCAGAGAAATGGCATTAAGGGAGTTGGGAGGGAGAGAAAAATGGGGATCTTGTTTTTTGTCGTCTTGAAACTGTGTTGTAGGCAGTGGGGTCTCTCTGTACCTCCCACCCTTGAGGAGGGAGGTAAAGATGAGCTCAGTGTCCAACACCCCCTTTTGCGTTTGACTAGAGATGGTAACCATCTGATAGCAGGGAGAAAGGGAGAACTAGCAAAGAGTGGGTGGAAGGAGAAGTATGGGGGGTAGACAGCTGCTTCTCTCTGCCCTGCAGTTTCCCCTGAAACCCAGGAATTCACATAGGCATCCCCCCACCCCACCCCACCCTCCACCCCCAGTTCTTTTCAGTTATAGTTGCGTCCTTGCTGGGCTGAAGGGAGCACTGATACAGTTCACGTCTCTCCAGTGAGTGGCATCTCCTATCTGCTCCTTCCTGCCTGAGCTGGCCATTTGTACCCTGCAAAAGTCCGAGTTCCTGCCCTGCCATCCTTCCTGGCCTGGAAATGCACAAGTGTCACTCACAAGTGCTTAATTTTCCTGAAGCAGGGAATTGGGCCCGAGTTAATTTCTAAATGTCTATTCCAGACCCTTCTCCGACCAGGAGGCTGTGGTTCAGTCCCTGGCAAACGAGCAGTGACGCTGATTAGCAAGTGCTCCGATGGGCAGCCTGCCTTTCCTGGGGCACCGGCTGGGAACACCAACACCTTTCTTGTGAGCACATCTCCCCCTTTTGCCTATAAAAACAGTCTATAAGATGGTAAAGATTGGGCCATAAAACTTCCGTTCCAATCCATTCAGCATCAATAGCCTGAAAAAGTGGGAGCAGCAGAGGGGCCAAGATTAGCTTTGAAATAAATAAATCTTAGGAGGTAAGAATGAATTTCTTGGTCGAGGGTGGTGGGGAAGGGATGAGGTGCGACCATCATAGCTCAAGTCTCCCATTATCCTTCAGTATCTGTTCTTCGGGGTCCTGGTCACACCATGGGCCTGGGCAGGGAAGTCACCTGGTTTGGCTGAAGGATGGGGCCTCAGGCCCCTCCCCCTATTGCTCCAGACATGGAATTTACAACAAAGAAGTAGAGAGACAGGATATGAGGGTAGGAAGGTACAAGGAGGCAGTTGTCCAATTTTCTAAGAAAATGGATTTGTTCGAGTGAGAAACTAAAATGTCAGGTTTAGGAAGGCGGCTTTGGATTGAATGACTACTAGTGTCTCAGGCAGAACTGTCAGCCTGGGAGGTGTCACATGATTCCTGTGTCTTCACATGATCACTGTTTTGGGGGGGTGGGGCCAATCATGTGAATTATCCTGGGTGGGGGAGGCAAGAGAAGAAGTTTCTAAAGATTGCTTTTAGCACAAATGCTGCCAAAGGGAAATTCTAAAAAGATCCCAGTGAAGTCACCAACCTATGTTTTTGGACCCAATGTGAGGCCTGTTTCCTAAAACAACTGCACTGAGGGAGATTCTGAGGCTGGGAGAAGGGCAAGGGACTGAGGCCTGGGGACACCTGGCACCTGATTTTGTGTCAGCAGGGCCTGACGCTGAACCCGCAGGATGCCTGCTTGGCCCCAGGTAGGCCTTGAGACCTCTGAGTCACCCCCCAGGCCGACCTCAGATAAACTCCCATTCATTTCTTCTCTCTGGCCTGGAGGAGGCCAAGCCAAGTTGCAGTTCAGGCTCTGGGGAGCAGCGGGGCCCCCCAGTGAACCTCTCACCGTTTGGTAGAGGGTGGCACTCTGGGGGCTCCTCTGTACTTTCCTAAATGGTAAAGTTAATCTCACTTCCTCTTTCGTAAGAAGAGAAAACGGGGCGGGAGTGCTTTGGCTCAACACATCAGGCTGTTGGAAGTTCCTTTAAAGCCATAGTTTTCTCTGAGTACTTTCTGGCCTTTACCAACCCCTCGGAAACTCACGGTAATTCACGTCTGTACTTGCAGTCATGCAGCACCTATGCAGTGCTGGTGTGAACCATGTGTTGAGAGAAGGGAGGAAAACCAACATTCATTAGATAGTTAATGGCGTTCCAGGCCGGATGCTGCTCCTGCGTCGTCTCACCCGCAAGACATGGATTGGCTCTTCTCCCCATTCTGCAGATGCAGAAAATCGAGTCCCAAACTGGGGAACTAACTTATAAGTGATAGAGAGGAGCCAGGATTTTGGATGCTGGCCTTCCTGCTGGGTGGCTTCTAGGGAAGAAGCTCAATGACTTA
The DNA here is from genome assembly GCF_000001405.40 of Homo sapiens. NCBI lineage: Eukaryota > Metazoa > Chordata > Mammalia > Primates > Hominidae > Homo > Homo sapiens. The sequence continues at coordinate 1,898,670 of NC_000020.11, forward strand.
ATCAGGATGATTTAGTCCAAGCTGGAGAGGGAGTGAGAGAGGCCCCTTTCTGGCCTTGGGTGGAGGACTGTAGAAGAGTTCTTTCTCTGGGCAGAAGGTTTTGATGAAGTCACAGGCATTTCTCTGAAAGCCTGCTGAGGGTGGAAATACTGACAGCCCCTTGGTCCTCACCAGTAACAACACATGAGAGGTGATGTGGCTCCTGTGAGAGCCCCCCATCTGGGCTGCTGAGCTCTGGAGCCCCCAGAGCTGGAATATTCCTCCCTGCATCTTCCTGGTGCCCTTTGCGACAGATGGAGAGGGGGTGTGCGAGAGGAAGGGAGTCTAAAAGTGTTGTACGGATCCCACACGCGCTCGCTTGCTGCTTCCAATGGCTCCGTGCGACAGGTTATTTTCTTATTTGTAGTCTTGGACTGACGGAAGGTTTCCCCCCTCTCTCTCTCTTTTTAAATGTGCTCAGATTTCTGGCCTGTCAACACAACTCAGATCATGTCACTCCCCAGCTCAAAACTGTTGAGTGGGTCCAAGTTTTCTTTAAAAAAAAAAAACAAAAAAACACAAAGCTGCCGTGAGGCCTGGGCTTCCTCCCTGCCAGGCCTGATTTCCAGCCACATGTTTTCCAACAAGCTGACCTGTTGAGATGCTGCAGGATAACCAGGCTTCCTCCCTGCAGACCAGAGCTTTGCTGGCTACTCAGCCACACGAGCACCCCAAAGACCCTGAGAAGCCCTGCAATGTAGAATCCCGAGCTGGGTCACATTTACTCCAGTGTTCCCTGAACTTATGAACGAGAGGCATTTGATTTGTAGTATGCCCGTTAGCATGTGGCCTCTCTCCGTTTGGTAAACGGTTTTCTACAGATCCATGCCCTCAGCTGAACTCTCAGCTCTGTGCCTTGGCCCGTGCTGTTCCTGCCATCAGAAATGCCCTCCCTGTACCTCCTTGTCTTCCTGTGTCTGAATCCTACTCATCCTCCGAGGTTCAATTTAATGTGCCTCCTGGGGAGAGGTCAGAGGAGCCTCTCCACGCAGACACACACCCTGGCCTAGCGCTAAGATGGTGCTAAGACCCCTGGGTGTTGATCTGAGCCCTGCTACTGACTTGGACAATTTGCAGGAATCTGTGTCTCATTTTGCTCATCTGTAAAAGAGGAATGGTATTAACCACTCTATTGCAAGGATTAAGTTAATTAATGCGTGTATAATGCTGGAAGCCATGCCTTGTATGTAGTAAGCACTCAATACATATTAACCAGTGTTGTAATTAGCATGGCTTTATTCTGGTTTGATTCCTCTTTTTTAACAATTGGGACGGATTTTCATAAAACATCTAACACAGTTGCTTACACATAGGGGGTACTTAAAAAACAGCAAAGGCTGTTCAGTGAACAAATGTCCTTCAGCTTGATATTTTCCTTGTAGCTTTTTTTTTTTCTTTTTTTTTTTTTTGAGATGGAGTTTCACTCTTGTTGCCCAGGCTGGAGTGCAATGGCGTGATCTCGGCTCAACGCAACCTCCGCCTCCTGGGTTCAAGCGATTCTCCTGCCTCAGCCTCCCGAGTAGCTGGGATTACAGGGATGCGCCACCATGCCTGGCTGATTTTGTATTTTTAGTAGAGACAAGGTTTCTCCGTGTTGGTCAGGCTGGTCTCGAACTCCTGACCCCAGGTGATCCACCTCCCAAAGTGCTGGGATTACAGGCTGAGCCACCGCACCACCCAGCTGTCCTTGTAGCTTTTATGCTGTTGGGGGATGGACAAGTTGAGTAGAAACCCAGGCTAGAGTGATTTAATTGCCTGTTACTAGGGACTGAGTGCTGTGGGCACAGCCTGCCTCTAGGTGTCTCTATCTGGATCCACAGGTCTGCAGTTGTGGATTCCCGGACCTGCAAAGCAGTAGGGGGCCTGAGAGAGCCCTCTGTGCTTTCATCCAGTGCCTTATGGTGCGGCCAGAAGAACAGAGAGAAAAAAACTGGCCGGGCCCACGCGGGAGATCCATGGCAAGGCCCGGCTGGAACGCCAAGCCTCCTGTGGTCCAGGCCAAGGCTTTTAAAAACTGGGCTGTGCTGGAACTTTCCACTGTTTCAGCCAGAAATCTGACAGGATCCCGAATTCCCCGGGAAAACACTAAAGTAATACTAATAGGAACCATCTGGGTTCTCTGCTTCCTGGGCTCAGCACTTGGTGTGTGTGACCCTGGTGGTACTCACAGCCACCTGGCGATGCACGTCGTTATCTTCGGACCCGTTGGATCTGTGAGGAAACTGAGGCTCTGAATGGTGAAGCAGCTTGCCCAAGGCCACACCGTAAGCGCCAGATGTGGATAACCACTGTCGGCCTAATCACAGAGCCTATGTGGTTAACTGTTGTGCCATTCCTTAGCCGTCACTGAGGCTTGCTTGACAGGTAGGGAAACTGAGGCCCAGTTGTGCTGGCACCCTGCTCCCTTAGTGCTCCTCTCATTTTTGTTTTTGTTTTTTCTTCCTTTCTTTCTTTCTTTTTTTTTTTTTTTTTTTTTTTTTGAGACGGAGTCTTGCTCTGTCGCCCAGGCTGGAGTGCAGTGGTGCGACCTCGGCTCACTGCAGCCTCTGCCTCCTGGGTCCAAGCAATTCTCCTATCTCAGCCTCCCCAGTAGCTAGGACTACAGGCGCACACCGTCACGCCCAGCTAATTTTTGTGTTTTTAGTAGAGACTGGGTTTCACCATATTGATCAGGCTGGTCTCAAACTCCTGACCTCAGGTGATCCTCCCGCCTCGGCCTCCCAAAGTGCTGGGATTACAGGCGTGAGCCACTGCACCCGGCCTCCTCTCGTATTTCTATCAGTGCACCTTCCTATGAGGTGGGGGCAGTGTGTGTCCCCAAGGTGTGTCCCTGTCCCCATACTAGAGAAGGAAGCATCTATTTTCACAGCTGAAACTGCTTTCCTGTTAACTGCTGGTGTTCCTGGGATGGGTATTCTGATGAAGCCCTCCACGAGATGGATTTTCCCTGCCAGGTGTCTTGCCAGGCCCTCAGTCCAGAGAGATGCAAAACAGCTGAGGTGGAAGTCGGAAATGCTGCAGAATTGGTTCTTTGTGTCTGTAAGATTTCCTGGCACATTCGTTCGGGGGCGCAGGGTGTTAGATGGCTGCAGATTAGCGCCAAGAGCCCAAGGAGATCAGGTGCTCGGATCAGGAGGGAAATTGGAAGCCGGGAGTGAGCGATGGGCCTCCCAGCCAGGAGGGACGGCTGGAGCAGGTGGGCGGTGATACCAGCGCCGTTTCTACAGCTCCATTCTTCAGGCCGACCGTCGGTGTTCTCCAGAAATGGAAGCCCGTGGTGGAAGGAAATACTAGGTACACGATGTGCTCGGCACAGGCTGAGCCTTGAACATGTGTTAGCTCTTCCTTATCTTTTTATTTTGGAAAATTTCAAACATATGCAAAATGAGAAGGAATGATGTAATGAGCCTCAGCTTTGACACTGATCAACTCTATACCATGCTTGTCCCCTGCCCCTATTTTTGCTAGGGAGAGGAGAATCGGGGAGTATATAAAGCAAGTGCTAAACATGGGGTATCATTTCACCCACCGATACTCTCTCCACATCCCTTCATGTGAGCTGTTACCTGACCCTCACCACGAGCCAAACAGTATGGCCCTTCATCCCCACTTTACAGATAAGGCAACTGAGGCTTCCCAAGGCCAAGTGGGGCTCATCCTTAGGCCACACAGCCAGTGAGAGGTAAAGCCAGGCTCCACTCCTCACTTTACCCTTAACCACTTTGCAGTCATTATTAGGGTCATTTTAATTGTAAATATTCATTCAACAAATATTTTTGAGCACCTACTATGTGCCAGGGATGGCTCTAGGTGCTTGGAGGATACAAATGTGAACAAGACAGACAAAAACACCTGCTCTCGTGCAGCAGACATTCTAGTGAGGAAGAGAAAAACACACCCAAGTAAACAAATGATGCCAGGTAGCTGGGGAGAAAAGCAGGAGGAGGGAAGGGAGAAGGTTAGTCAGGACAGAGGGAGGGCCGCTCTAAGGAGCAGAGGCCTCAAGAAAATGTACAATTAAGGCCAGGTGCGGTGGCTCACGCCTATAATCCCAGCACTTTGGGAGGCTGAGGTGGGCAGATCACCTGAGGTCAGGAGTTTGAGACCAGCCTGGCCAACATGGCGAAATCCCATCTCCACTAAAAATACAAAAATTAGCCGGGCATGGTGGCGTGCGCCTGGAATCCCAGCTACTCTGGAGGCTGCGGCAGGAGAATCGCTTGACCCCAGGAGGCAGAGGTTGCAGTGAGCCGAGATTGCACCACTGCACTCCCGCCTGGGTGACAGAGCAAGACTCTGTCTCAAAAAAAAAAAAAAAAAAAAAGAAAAGAAAGAAAAGAAAATGGAGGAGTAGCCACGGGGGATAGCAAGAGCCCTCCATGTGGGAGGAATGGCAGATGCAAAGGCCCTGAGGCAGGAATGAGCTTGTATGTTCCAGGAATTGCAAAGAGGCCAGTGGGGCTGGAGTGAAAGTAGAAGAGGTGGGGGAGTGAGCAGAGGTCAGGGCCAGACCAGCAGGATCTGGCTCATTGAGCACCTAACATGGAGCATGTCTGGCTTGTGAGAGGATCATTATGCATTCTCTCATTTAATTCTCACCACGGGTTCTGTAAGATGGGAAATACCGTTAATCCATTGGACAGATGAAGAAACTGAGACTCAGAAAGGTAAAGTGACTTGCCTAAGGTCACACAGCTTTTATGTGCAGAACTAGGATTTAGGTCCCTGAATGCTGCAGCATCCCCATTGCTGCTTTCCGCAGCCGTCCTTGCCCCCTTCGGGCTCTTCACCCATAGCAGCTGGAGTGAATCAAGTCATCTTTGGTTCTGCTGGAAACCTTTTTCGGTTTCCAGCATGGCATTTCTGGACCACGTCTGTCTCTTCATCCTCACCTCTTACCACTCTCCTGCCTCCTTGGGCTTCAGCCTTGGCAGCGTCCTTTCTGGCCCTTCACCAGCTTCTTTCCCACCCGAGGGCCTTTGCACTGGCTGTCTCTTCTACGGGAGCATCTTCCCTGGTCTTCACTTCCTTTGGGTCTCAGCTGCCACCTCCCTTCCTTGGATGCTGTCCCAACCACCCCATTCCAAAAGAGGTTATCGCTTGTGATTCTCTATCACTGGGCCAAATCTGCCTGTTGCCTAGTGCTCCTAGCCCTTTCTATATTAATTCATTTCATTATTTCAGCCCTGTCTCCTCCACTAGGATATAAGCTGCACGAGAGATGGGCTATGTCTCTTACTCACTGTTGGGCCTCCCAGGACCTCAGCACAGGGCCTGACACACAGTAGGTGGGTTAATAGATACTGATTGAATGAAAGAACAAGGTGGGTACTAAAATCCCCCTTTTAAAGAGGAGGCTTGGAGTTATGAGGTTGTACGAGCAAAGCTTATTCCCTAACTACCACAGTCCCCCCCCTGCAGCCAGGGCCGGGATCATACCACAATTCCCTGCCCATCAAGCTGTCATGAATAGCCCTAAGATATCAGGAAGCACAAAGATATCAATGCCAGGAGGGATAGGAGGAGGCGGCCAAGAAACCCCGGAATTTGTACTTAAAATTCTGGCTACGCAAACTGCTTGCCCAACTTTAGACACCATGATGAATGATCAGGTGCTGCAACCATGAAACATGACGTAATTAGTGCTGCACTCTTGGCTGGGGGTTGGCTTGGAGGCCCCACCTCGAGGTTAGCCTCCCCCAGAGGGTCACTGCACGAGGCAGTCTGGTGCGGGGTGGGGGTTACAACAGAGGGAGGTGGAATCAGACCACTCGGCAGCCCTGTGACCATGGCCAAATGGTTGTACCTCCCAAAGCTTCACATCTGGTCCTCCGTGAAATGGGGGTGGCGACAGCCCTGTCTTACTGGGCTCCTGCAGAGGTTCCATGAGGCCTGTCTTGCTCTGGGCAGCGTCGATGCTTATTAGCTATTGTTACTGCTGTTATGTGATTGTCATCGTTTTATGGTTTGGGAATTTTAAAAGCTCCATCTTTTGCCAGCGGGGAGACCTGGAACCCACTCCTCTGCCCCCTCAGCCTCAGTTTCCCCTTCTGTGACCGGGAGGCTTGGCTCGGCTCCTCTCTTGCAGGTCCCTTCCAGCCCTGATGCTCCAGCCTGCATGTCCTCCTGGCCCTTTGTCCTGATGACTCCACAGACTCCTCTGGGAGGAGAGGCCATGGAGGGGCTTCTGCTCTGGGGCACATTCCTGAATTGGAGTCCAGCATGTGCCGCTTACTGGCTGTGTGCTCTGGGGCAGGTGTCTTCCCAGCTCTGAGCCTCCGTTTCCCCATCTGCAAAATGGAACCGCTAACACTGTTTCCTCCCAAATGGGTGACTGTTGAGGGTTAAGGAATTAAGAGCCGTGGAAAGTGCTTTTGCAAGCTGCAAAATGCTCTATAAAAGGAATCAGTGAATAGTGTCAGCTTGGGGAAAAATCCCGTCAGTCCGGAGACTGTCTGCTGCCGGCAGTGTGCTGAAACCCTGGCAAATGTCGTTTAATAAATGCGTGTTGCTTTTAAGAGGGCCTTTATCTCAGCTGGGAAAATGTGTGCGCATCCTTGGCAACCTGAGAATCCAGAAGCCTGAACTGGAGGGGACCTGTCACAGGGAGAGGCGATCGCATGGGGTGGCTCCAGCCTCCAGTGTTGGAATCCCACCTCTGCCACTTACCTACCTCTCCAGACTCTGCTTCCTCATCTGTAGGAGGGGACAGTGACAATAGCACCTGCCACTCTGGGCCAGGATGTCCTGAGGGCTAAATGAAGGCTTCTGGTTATCTGGCCTAACCCATGCATTTCCCCCATGAAAGTGTGGCTGTGCAGCACCAGGGCCTGTCTCAGGGCAATGGTTGGGGCCTGGAGATTGGGAGGACCTCCCAACCTCAGCCTCTCCAGGCCTTACTCCAGGCCTCAGTTTCTTCCTCTGCAAAATGAGGAGGAGGAAAGGTCCTTAGGTTGTCAAGGCACCAAGCCTAGTAGATGTCAATGTCCTCTACCTGCTCTCTCAGCCTCTGCCGGTCCCCCGAAGCCTGTTAATTCTAAAGGATATTTACACAGATTTGCAGTTCTTTTCCTGCCACTTTGCAAACAGGGTCACACTGCAAGCATCGCTTCATCACCTCCAGGTTTCATCTGAACCCAGCAAATGCTCCATAGGGCTCCCAGTGCCGCCTGTCCCCGCTGCCTCCTTGCCAGCAGTGTGCTCAGCCTGCTTACAGGCCCATGCCAGAGGGGCCTCATGCATGCATCAAGGCAGAGCTGGTTCTGCCTCGGAGAGGATCCCGAGCCTCTCAGGCTTAAGGACGTGGTCATCTGTCGCCCCCTTCATCTTTAGACACCCATCTGCATGGTGACAGCTGCTCTGCATTGAGTACTTACTCTGTGCCAGGCACGCTAGCCCGTTTCATCCTCAGAACAACCCTAGTATTGTTATCATCATCATCATCATCAGACCCATTCTACAGATAAAGAGCCAGAGGTCCAGAGTGGGCGAGACATTCCCTGGAGTCTCATGGGTAGCAGAGTTGGAATCCAAATCAAAACATACTTTCAGCCAGTGCCAGGCACTGCTCCAACCCTGGGGAAGAAAACTCAGTTCCTGCTCTCAAAGGACTTATAAGTGAGTCTATGACAGGGAGATGAGCGCTTTTAAAAAATTAACAAGGAAATGCGTAGCTTTTTGAGTGAGGATGACATATCGAACAATGAAGCAGAGCCAGGGACATTGAGGTGGGTAGTATTTTAGACAGAATGGCCAAGGAAGGCCTCTCAGATAGGCCTGAAGGAGAGGAGCGAGCCAGACATGTAGATATTTAGGGATGAGAGTGCCAGGCAGAGGCAATGGCGAGTGCAAAGGTCATGTGGTGAGTGGAGAATCTGGCACGATTGGGGGAAAGCAAGGCTGTAGGCCCCTGGGGCCACTGTAAAAATTCTGGGTTTCACTCTGAGTGCAGTGGGGGCTGTGGGAGGGTTTTGCACAAAGGAGGAACGTCACCTGACTTAGGTTTTAGAGGCTTCTCTGGCTGCTGGGGGAATGTGGCTGGTAGAGAGGTGAGGCAGAGGCAGGGAGGTCAGCGTGGAGGTTCAGTCAGGGTGGTAAGAAGAGGTCAGGGTCTGGCCATGTGTTGGAAGTTGAGCCAGCAGGATCTACTAACAGATGGGTTGTGGAACACGGATGAAAGGGAGTCAAGGAAATGTCTCATTCTGAGTCCAGCACTTCTAACCACAGAGCCTCTGACCTGGGGAGGGAGGGGGCTGCATTTCCTGTTTACAGGTGAGGAAACAGGCTTAGAGAAAAGCAACTTTGCCAAGCACCGTGCTACAGACAAGACATAAAGGTCATCTGGCCCCAGAACCTGAGCTCTGGACAGTCTTAGCACCTTAGAAGTTTACCTACTGCATGGATGGGGCCACCAGAGTCTGCCCCTTCCCTGCAGGGATGTGGCACAGCACTGAGTTCTCAGAGCTACCCAGGGCAAGGGTGAAGGAGTGGGGACCCTGAGCCCCTGGGCCAGCTGTCAGCTTATTTACCAGGCCACACGCATCCCCATTTTTGGTGGCTTCAATGCAGGTAGCAGTTTCTATCACAGCACCTGGTTTGTCCCTGCCCAATGGGTGTATCCAGTGGTGCCGGCAGAATGTTCCCAGTGCTGGCCTGCTCTTCAGATGGGCAACCGAAACCATCCTTCAGGGCGCTAGGTTAGCCCAGTCCCAGGTCCTCCCCATCTCAGCTTCCTTACAGCCAGTGAGCATGTTCCAAGGACTCTACCCTGAGTCCTGTCACCTCTGCGTCTTTGCTCATGTGGTTCCCTCCTCTTGGAATGCCTTCCTTCATCCCAGCCTCTGTCAGCCTTTAAGACCTAGCTCAGGGGCCACCAGCTCCAGGAAGTCTTCCTGGGTTTCACTCTCTTCCAGAACCCCATCCCTAAACCTCCTCTTGCAACACCGATCGCCATGTGCGTGGTCATTGCTCATGTCCAGGACGGCCCCACATGCTAAGATAGTCTCAAGGGCAAGGGCCTGTCTTACTTGGCTCTGTTTTCTGTGGTATCTAGGACAGGGCCTGGCAGCAGAGTGAGGTTTGAGAGGGCATGAATGAATCATTCTGACTCCAGAGGAAATCACTGTGTAGTCCTGGCTGTTGGAGCCCCAAGCTCTCTTCTTGGGAACTGTGGCATCCATGCAGCCATCCACTGGTGCAGCCCCGGCCATGAATGCAGCCCCAGCTACCTTTCGCCTTCCTGCATGGGGTCATGGGCTCCAGCAGATGGTTCTGGGCTAGCCTGTTGACAGCTGTGCCCTGTGGCCAGCACATAGTAAGTAGGTGCTCTGGAAAGGTTAGCACCTCCTATCAAGGGCACGACCCTAGACAGATACCACACAGGGTGTTGACCGCCAGGAGCCCATGGCAGACTTGAGGGAAGTGTGTCTCCTCACATCCTCCATCACCCTTGTGCTTGTGGAAACTTACACAGCAACCTCATCTATTCCAGGCACATGCCCAGCTGGACACACTCCCGAACACAGGCACACGGACACCTGGGGTGCACACAAATAGTGGCATGTGCATACCTCCCTGCTTGTCAATGCACACACCCTCATAGTCACATTTACGCATACAGCACTCTGTCACACACGTGCCACCCCCCACACACACCCTCTACACACACATACACACCACACTCACGTGCATGCCGCTCCTGCATCACTCTCCCACACACTCACACCCTCCCACACATGCCCAGGCCACCATGATTCAGACACTCTCCTGCACACAATTCACATGCCCACGCCCATGATCCCTAGCCCCCCATTCAGACACAGTCCTGTGTTGCACTCTGACATATTCCGGCACACAGGCACCGTCTCTTTCACACTCCTCCTTGTGCCCACCCATGTGTACATGTGTGTGCAGATGCTTATGCTCTGTACACGCATACATGTATGTACACACGTGTGTTCTCGTGTGCATACTCTTATGCACCCTCAGCACACTCATGTTCACATGTTCCATTGTACAGCCCTGTACTACATCCTGTGTGCATCCGCTTTAATGTACACTCATGTTCACGTGTTCTATTGCACAGCCCTGTACTATATCCTGTGTACATCCTCTTTAATGCACTCTTAATGTTCACATGTTCTCTGCATAGCCCTTTATTACATCCTGTTTGCATCCGCCTTAATGCACATTTATGTTCACATGTGCTATTGCAAGGTCCTGTACTACATCCTGTGAGCACCCTCTTTAATGCACACTCTTGCACTGCATACTCTGGCACACAGCATTAAATCACACCCAGAAGATAGTAGAGGCAGCCCCCGATGAGGAGCTGCTATAAGTGCGGGGTGGAAAATCGCAGCCTTCTGAGGATGGTGAATAACAATAATGATGAGGGAAGAAGGGAGCCGGGTATCACTGCAGCCACTTTAGAATGTTGAGCCCTGTGTACTGCCAGAGCTCCAGCCATAGCCTCCCAGACCCTGGGGGTCCTTGAGTACAAACAAAGAATCTACAAAGAATCCAAACAGGTGGCCTCCTGCCTGTCCCTGTGGCTTGTGCTGTGGTGACCCACTGCTTCCGGGGGATGGGCAAGCTCCCATGCAGTGGCAGTGAGCACCCGCCTGGGCAAGGCTGGTTCTTGGGAAATGTGCCTGTTGGCTTCCTTCTCCCCACCCCTTGAGACAGGCTTCTGGAAGACTCACACCCCAGGGTAAGGCAGCCCTCCCCATCCCCGCCTCAAGCTTCAGTTCTAAGTTGATTTTTTTTTCTATTAGAAAAAACATCCATGTGGGCAGGGCGCAGTGGCTCATGCCTGTAATCCCAGCACTTTGGGAGGCTGAGGCGGGCAGATCGCCTGAGGTCAGGAGTTTGAGACCAGCCTGGCCAACATGGTGAAACTCCATCTCTACTAAAAATACAAAAATTAGCCAGGTGTGGTGGCAGGCGCCTGCAACCCCAGCTACTTGGGAGGCTGAGGCAGGAGAATTGCTTGAACCCGGGAGGTGGAGGTTGCAGTGAGCCGAGATTGTGCCATTGCACTCCAGCCTGGGTGATGAGAGTGAGACTTCGTCTCAAAAGAAAAAAAAAGTATCCATGCTAATTTTTTTCACCCTTTATGAAATATTTTCATCTTTTAATCTCAAAAGCCACACACATGAACATTGTTTTTTAAGAAATCAAATATATTTTCTAAATCCCAGTGGTCAGTTCTCAGCCCCCATCTTATTGCATCTCTCAGTGGCATTCAATGCAGGTGGTCACACCCTCCTTGGCCAATTCAAAGAAGAGAAAGGAGATGTGGCGGGAGAAGCAGGTCACAGGAAGGGGCCGGGAGATGGGATCTAAGATGCCAGCAGGAGCCTCTTGCCCAGGGGGGTTAGGTACATTCCAGATGTAATCATTTGAGTGATTTCTTTGAAATCCATCTTTGCCTCGAGGGTGGAAGCTCCATGAGGCCAGGGACACAGCCATTTCACAGCCCTTAGCTCAGGGCCTGGCACAGGGAAGGATCCAGAATGCAGCACTGACCGCACTTGCTGTGGACACTGAGTTCCTCTTACAGCAAACATATGGTGACCACCCACTGTGCTGACTGCTCCCCTTAGGAAACGTGTTCGTGTGTTTTGTTTCATTACTTTTTAACTTTTTTCCAAAACCAATAAATGTTCACTGCAAAAAAATACAATATATGATGTATTATAAAGTAATAAGAAAACATGCCGACCCCATCCTACCTCAGTCCCATTTCCCAGATGCAACACACCACAGCATGCCATGTTTAACTTATCATCCTTGCAGACCTTTTTCTCTAGACATGCGATTGACCAATCAACAAAGATTTATCGAGCGTCTACACTGTGCCAACCACAGTAGCAGGAGCTGGGGAAACAGTGAACAAAACAGACTAAATCCCTGGAGGAGAGGTTCATTTAAACAGTACACATACGGTAACATACATCATTACATGTACAGGTTTTTTAAAAAACAAAATGAGATACTATAAATATTCTTTTGTGTTCATCCAATTTAGAGAAGCTGAAACAATGCCCAAAGTAGGAGGGGAAAAAAAGAGAAAAACCTCATGAGGTTTAGATTCATGATCCAAAGAGAGTTACATTTTATAGCTTTGTTTAATACCCTCCAGTTGTTTATATATAGTTTTATTTTACAAAGTCATGATCATACAGAGGGTATAGATTTTTCTCCATCTTTTTTTTTCTTACAAAAGAAATGCAAACAGAAAACATAAACAAGAGCAAAATCCCATGTAAATCTACCACTCAATCATGGCTAATCTTTAATATCATTGTTTTTTTCTAAAATTGGGAGTTTGGGATCACACTGGATCTACTACTTGGTAACAGACTCTGATCTTGTAACACATTTCCATTGTAATTCTATACCATCATTTTCATGGCTATAGACTTGGCCTATAGCTGTGAAAGTAGATTCACCATAATGGGATCAGCCAATCTCCTTTCCTTGGATATTAGGATATTTTCAATTTTTTATTTTCATACAGACACTTAAGTGAATGAAGCAAAATGTCTGCACATATTCTTAGTTACCTAAAGGTATGATGTTAGATTGTTTTTCTTCACTCATATTTTTACTACATCAGAATGTTGATTACAGTTATCTTTGATGGTATGATGTGAGATTATTACTTTGTTTCCATACTTATTTTCTCTAAATGCCTTGCAATGAACAGGTTTTATTTGCATAAACACAATATTATTTAAAATGATGCCATGAAAATTTCTATATGACCACCGTTTTCATGGTAATGGCTTGTTACGGCTGCCTGTAATTCCACATAGGGGATAGGCCGTAATTCACTTAACCATCCCCTATCATTGACCGGCTGGGCTTTTTCTAATGTCTTTAAGATCGTTATACAGGAAACCTACTCCATATCTGGGGTTACGTCCTCAGGGAGCAGCCCAGCAAAGGCTGGTGAACAGATTTCACACCTTTGGTTCATCCTGCCAAGCTGCTTTCCCGAAAAGATGTTCCAATTTCCCCTCCCACCGGCAGTGCGTGGGAATGCCTGCCCAGCCGCCCTCCTCTCCCTGAGACGGTTCAGGCCCCTGGACAGTCGCATCCTCTGCTAGGAGGGCAAGAGAAAGCAGGAAATAATTTGGCCAGCAAGTGACCCCAGACCCAGAGCCAGGAGTGATTTTTAACAAGCCTGATTCTCAGAACAGAACCTGCAGAGAAAAAGAAAGCAAGCAAGGAAAAAAAAAAAAAAACCCCTCTCTACTGGAAAAAACATACACATACACAGATTAAAATAATATTTGGCACTTACGTCGCACTTTTAAAATTCTTCAAACGCTTTATAAACACTAGCTAATTAATTAAGCCGCCTAAATCTGGCTGCAGTCGGTGGAGAGAGCTCGAGAGGAGCTAAAAAAAAAATGGGGGAGCCAGCGCTACACAACTCCAGATTTTATTGTCGCCTGCCTGGGGTGTGATTACAGGCCTCCGGCTGCACCACAAGAATAGCCCTGCTCCAACATGCTGCACGCCTGACTCCGCAGCCTCTCCTGCGCCTCCTGCTCCCTCACCAACTGCTGACTCACAGCCCCTTGTGGTGTTATTGATAAGGATAATAATAACTGCAAGCCAGGCTGAGTCCCGGGCTCCGGGCCTGCACCCTCCCCTGGATATGCCAGTATCAACTCCACCTAACACATGAAGAGAGAGGAGATTTGCCCAGGGTCATGGAGCCAACGACATCCTTCCTTCCTTCATTCATTACCGCATTCATTCTGCATATTTTTATCGATGACACTGTGTTTTAGGCAGGAGGTTGGAAACAGTCCCTTGTGGATCCTACATCCTACTATTGGGAATGTGACAATCCAGAGAAAATCAAATATGTGAATAATACAGCTATGTGATAATAATGGGAATAAGAATTAAAACTTACCCAGCACCTATGCAGCAGGCATACCACCGTGTCAGGGTCCTCATGACTGTGCTGGGGTGGATGCCGGAACCCCACTTCATGGATGATGGAATGGGGGTCCAGGGAAGGTGGGTACAGAGGTGGCTAAGAGGGGAGCCATGCTGTCACCCAGGCCTGCTGGCCCTAGCAACTGTGCTTCCCCGAGGCAGCCTTTCCAGTTGGTCCAGTCTCGAGGCTGAAATACAGACCTATCCGGAAAGTTCCTAGCTCAGTGCTGCTGGTGCTGCCTCTGATGTCCCCGCCTGGATGGGCCTCCCGGGCCTCCCACACATTTGGCCACCAGCCTCACCCCTCTCAGGCCGTCTGATGCTGGCTGGGCCTCTGTCCACTGTGGGTTCTGTCTGTCCACTGTGGGTTCTGTTTTTTTCTCCTGTGCCATGAAGATCTTGCCATGTTCAACTTCAAATGGAAATGAAATGAGAAGCTGGACTTCCTGATAATAAAAGCAGTTGAGGTCTTAAGTGGTTGATCAGGAAAAGGAAGTCGAAATGGTAATATTTACACCCAAAGCAGGTGGAGTGGTCTTAGGCACTCTGAGACTCCACTCACCTGCCATGAGAACCGGGCCCCAAGGGTGATCCCTTGCCAGAGTCAAGACTGGGTGAGGCTGGGAATGGGAGAAAGAGGCAGGACAATGGGCAGATAGCCCTGGGCTTCCTGCAGTGAGGGCAGATAGGGGTCTGTGAGCCTCTTTCCCTGGCTGCCCTGCCCCTGCCAGTGGGGTGGTGCCAGGCCATGGGTTGGTGGGCAAATTCACAGGGTCTCTCTCCTCCCCAGCCAGAGCCAGAGGGGCACAGCAGCTCTGGACATCTGCCGCAGCCTTGTCTGATGTACAAGGCAAAGGTGGCCCAGGTCAGGGCAGGACAAGGTCACATGAAGGGTCAGTGGAGAGCCCAACTGGGGCCCCAGGTCACCTGTCACCTGCATACCAGGTAGCTGCCACTCCTCTGTCTACCTGGTTCTCTCCTTCTCCCCTATTCTAGCTCGCTCTCTCACTCTGCGTCTGTCTCTCAGGCATGTGTTTCTCTGAGGTCTTTATGATCATGATCTTTCTTTTTTTTGTTTCTTGTACCTCACCTTGTTCAGAATCGAGGCCCTGGCTCTGCCTTGCTCTGAACTGTTCTCACTTGGTCCCTATCCATCTTCAACGCATCTCATGACAAGCTCGTCCTGCCCTCTTCCTGTCTGGGCTCCCCCCGTGCACCCCAATCTCTCCACCCAGGGTCCCTGTCTTGTGTGCCCCAGTGTCTCTGATTGGGGCTCAGGCTCCTGCAGCCAACCTCTACAATTCCTTCCAGCTGCCCATTTGGGAGCCCTTGAGGCCTGGACTGGGTCCAGCTCCAGTGTGTCCCCATCACAGTGAGGCCTGGATCACAGGGCATCAGCAGGTGTTGGTGAGAGTGAAGTTTGAGCCACAGCCACCTCCTTGTTTATTCAATGTATAGTAACAACAACTTCCTCAGGGCCCATCTCAGGGCTAAGTGACTTCTATGTGTGATCTCGTTTTCTTTTCAGAACAAAGCAGAGGCCTGGGGGCTGTTCTACCCATCCTGTAGATAAGAAAACTGAGACTCAAAACTGATGGATAAATTAAGGTCCCACAAGAACAAGGGGCGAGCCAGGTTTCAAACCAGGTCCGATGACTCTAAAGACCAGATGCTGCATTTGGACGCTGTCCCCAGCCTTGGCTTATTTTATCCTCCCAGAGATCCATCGAGGTGGGGTCATAGTAACTATTTTACAGATGAAGAAACCAAGGCTGAGAGCAGTAAGGGCAAACTAAGGGCAGCTCTTGCATTTGTGTGACACTTTGCTAGCCAGGCTCAGTCCTGGGTTCCAGGTGGGGACTCAAACACACTGGCACGAGTCTACATTGGATATTCTTGGTTACCTGAGTGGTGGCCCAAGGACACAGCTATAGGCCACTGATCCAGAACTCAAACTACATTCTCCTACTGCCCAAACCGCTGAGTACAGCCTCCCTTCTCGGGGCCTGCATCCTGGGCCAGGCCAGAAACAGAATCTTAACACCTTGTACAGCCCCAGATATGCCAGGCCCCTACCTCTGAGTCTTTGCCCAGGCTGTTCCCTCTGTCTGGAATACCAGGCTCCCTTCTGGCTCATTCAGATTAGAATTAGCCCAGCTCAGATGTGACTCTTCCAGAGAGGGTCCAGGCATTCAAACCCACTCTCTGCCATGTCATTTAGCTTTCTGTGCCTCAGTGTCCCCACTTAGAATACAGGCTCATGTTGCAGGTTTGTTGTGAGGGTCAAATGAGATGATACATGCACTATACTGATCTCACAGCCTGCTTCTGGTGTGCATCCAGTCAATGAACGTCATTGATAAACACTTGAGGAAACACAGAGGATCACGTAAGGATGAAAAAATGACTGCTTTGTGCTCCTTTCCAGGAGTGGCGGGTGAGGAGGAGCTGCAGGTGATTCAGCCTGACAAGTCCGTGTTGGTTGCAGCTGGAGAGACAGCCACTCTGCGCTGCACTGCGACCTCTCTGATCCCTGTGGGGCCCATCCAGTGGTTCAGAGGAGCTGGACCAGGCCGGGAATTAATCTACAATCAAAAAGAAGGCCACTTCCCCCGGGTAACAACTGTTTCAGACCTCACAAAGAGAAACAACATGGACTTTTCCATCCGCATCGGTAACATCACCCCAGCAGATGCCGGCACCTACTACTGTGTGAAGTTCCGGAAAGGGAGCCCCGATGACGTGGAGTTTAAGTCTGGAGCAGGCACTGAGCTGTCTGTGCGCGGTGAGTACAGCGTGGGCCTCCTTTGCCTCTGGTTTGTGACAGTAACTCAATAATAACACCCTCCATTCTTTGAGCAATGATCAGGTGTGGTGGTAGGTGCTCCTTTCCATGAATTGATGTCTCCCCCTTTTACAAATAAGGGAAGTTGAGGCCTGAAGACGTCATGCTATTTGCTGAAGGCTCCACAGCTGGTAAAGGGTGGGAACATCTGCATCCTTCATCTGCCTGGCTGTGTAGCCCTGGCCTCTTCAAAGCTGACCCAGCCCTTTCATTCCACAGATGAGGAAACTGACAGATAGTGTGACTTGCCCAGGCACAGGACCAGACCTCACCTGCTGCCTCCAGAGAGCACTTCCCTCTCAGGGCAGCCGAGTCTCCTCTATGTGACAGGCACTCACTGAGAACCTACTGTGTGCCAGGCTCCGCCAAGCTTGTGTTCTCATCCCTTCCAATAAGAGATCCACCCAGGGCAGGGAGCAGAGAGGGTGTGTTTCCTTTATTTCATCACCAAACACCAACTGAGAAGATTCCTAAAAGGCACAGATTTACTGTTTAATCTGATGGCCCTGGTGAGAGGAGAAGCCAGAGGGTTGGGCATTTTCTGTGGGTCTTTTAGAAAAACACTTGTGTGATTTAGGGACTGATTCATGCGTCACTAAAGGCTCTGAACAAAGCTGGGTCATCATAGAATGTCTCTCACCCCAGGGAGGAGGTCTCCCTTCTAGGTGACTTTGGGTTCCTCCGTTAAGGCAGCAAAGATGCTCATTTTGTATTTACTGCCAGAGCCCCAGGATCCTTGTTCTAACTCCGAATCCTGGGACATTAGTACAGGAAGGACCCTCAGACCATCCAGCCCAACCCCTAGTTACAGGTGGAAACTTGAAGTCAGGAGATGACAGGGGCCTTGTCCACAGTCATAGGCCCAGTTAGTGACAGGATCTGGACCAGAGCCCACATCTGATTCCAGGGAGGCTCCTTCATTAGCCATTGTTTACATAGAAGAGCCTGGTGCATCATAGGTGCCGACTGAAAGCTCCTTGAACAGAACTGCTAAGCAGGAAGCCAGCACTTCTCCTTTCCATCAGTTTCCTAAAGGTTCAGAATATTCACATTCAGACCGTTAGGCCCACTGGTGATTGGAAAACCGCTCCCAAATGTAAGCCATATCATTTGATACTGAGATTTCATATCAGGATAGAGACCTGCTCCATTGTGTAATAGCTACAGAATACTCCAGCTTATGGAAATACCAGATTTATTTTACCATCTTCCATTGATGGATACGTAACTTGTCCCCAAACTTGAACTATTAAAACAGTCCTGCAGTGGATGACCTTATACATGTGTGACCTTACTCAGGTGGGAGACGCCCACTGCAAGTGCCATTGCTAGATCAGAGGGGGTGTGTGTTTTAATGTGTGTGGATATGGCCTAATTTCCCTCCTAGACATTATAACAATCAAGTCTCCCCACAACCGCTGGACATAGGCAGGGAGGGTGGCTTTATCCTGATTGTGCAGATGTTACAGGAAAAGACGTTGAAGTTCCCAGATGATGCATCTCGTGCCTAGACAATCACAGCAAATACGTGGCTCAGGTGTGACCCAGATCTGCTGACTCCTAGCAGAGTGCTCACTCCTCTTTGCCATGCTGTCAGCCTAAATGATGCCCTGGATGAGAAAGGAGGGAGGTGGGAGGGGGCCAGGGAGCAGCAGCTGGATTGGATCCTCATCCTGGCACTTTCTCCTTTTATAACAAGTACTTATGAAGGAAGAGCCATTTCTTGCCCCCTTTACAGATAAGGACTCTGAGGCTCAGAGAGGAGACCTGTGTGGTGAGCCAGTGGGGGAGCCAAGGTTTGATCCCCACCAGCCTGACTCACAGCCCCTGTCTCTGTAACACTCAGCTATGCTTGTCAAAGTGTGGAGAAATGCTCCACCCTACTCATTCCAAACTCTTGCAGTTCTATAGCAATAAGCATAGGCTGAGGCAGGAGAATGCTTGAACCCAGGAGACGGAGATTACAGTGAGCCGAGATCGCACCACTGTACTCCAGCCTGGGTGATAGAGCAAGATTCTGTCTTGAAAGAAAAAACAAAACAAGTCCTATGGGAGTAGGAGGGACTGGCCCCCATCAGAAAGGTCCTGCAGATGTCTCATGATATGGGAACTTGTTCCTAAAGGACAGGTCTCAGCACATCACTGAGTAGCATCCATGGAGCAGAGTTGGGCCTCCTGCAGCCCAGCAGACCACGTGCCCACCTACTCACGGTGCTGAGGACTAAGGATGAGGAGATGAGGCATTTCCTGGTGGGTGCTTGGGGCTCATTGGAGCAAGAGTTTATATTATCCCCTCAGGCTGTCAGGAGCCCACTGACTTCAGTTTATGGCTATAGGGTAACCAGATCTGGGTACCCTGGAGGGAGGCTTCTCCCTAGAACTGCATGAAGTCAGGGATCTCAAAGGGAAAAAGGGAAGGTGGTGGTCAGTGTCAGGGTTCATGAAGTTCAGGCACTTGCTCAATTGATTGACATGAGAGCTTGGGGAACACTGGAAATGCCCATTGGGTACATGAGGGATGAGGAGACAGTGCCTTCGCTTTTCTCAGCCTCAGTTTCCTCATCTGTAGAATGGTGATAATCAGGGACTCCTTTGGCAGAGTGGAAAGGATTTGAGTTCCTGTGTATAAAACACCCAATGCAGAGTAGACACCCCCAAATCAAGGTTTTTTGTTTGTTTGTTTGTTTTTTCTTTTTTTTTGAGATGGAGTTTCACTCTTGTTGCCCAGGCTGGAGTGCAATGGCACCATCTCGGCTCACTGCAACCTCCACCTCCTGGGTTCAAGCGATTCTGCTTCAACCTCCCAAGTAGCTGGGATTACAGGGGCACCCACCACCACACCAGCTTTTTTTTTTTTTTTTTTTTTTTGTATTTTTAGTAGAGACATGGTTTCATCATGTTGGCCCGGCTGGTCCCAAACTCCTGACCTCAGGTGATCCCCCCACCTCGGCCTCCCAAAGTGCTGGGATTACAGGTGTGAGCCACTGCGCCCTGCCATCAAGGTGTTATTTTAAGATGTGTTACCTTGGGCAACCCAGTTCCCCTTGCTGAGCCTCAGTTTCCCCATGCGTAGAACGTCGATAATTGTACCAACCTTTCCAGGATGTTATGAGGATGCAATGAGCCTGGGGCGACGATAGACCTTAGTAAGCAATGGGGTTTTCCCAAGGTCATGTGATCTTGGGCAAATCCTGGCTTCCCTTGAGTCCTCAGCTTCCCTGTCTATGAAATGATGATGATGATTGCCAACCCTCACAGGTTCTGTGAGGATTGGAGAGGATGTACAGAGCCTCGGAATGGTGGCGGTGTTCGGGTTATCACTGAGCTCCTGCAGAAGTGTGGTTAGGAGAGTGTGGCCAGAGTCCAACTGCCTGGGCCACATCCCAGCTCTGCCACCTCCTGGCTCTGTGACCTGGGACAAGGCACTCCACCACCATGGGCCTCAGTGTCCTCACTTGTCAGTGATAACACCAACCTCACAGACCAGGAGTTGGGACCGAATGAGTTAAATCCTGTAGCGTGCTTAGGGCAGCAGGCGCCTGGCCTGCAGTCAATGTTCAACAGATGTGAGCTGTGTGATGCTGAAGCCATGCAACCTCAGATGGGTTAGTGCTCCTCCAGGCCTCAAGGATAAATGGTCCTTAGGATGTACTCAGGTAGTTTTCAATCTTGGCTGCTCTTTAGGATCATCTGGGAAACATTGAAATAAATCCCAGGCTCCACCACAGAAATGCCTCTTCAATTGGCCTGGCATGGGCCTAGGCATCTAAAGTTTTTAATTAATCCAGAAGATTCTAATACAGAGTCAGGACTGAAAACCCCTGGGATAGACACCCAGAGGTCACGGAGGACAAGTTGGAAAAGATGGTCCTCTTGGGGTGCCAGATGGGAGAACAGCTTTTCAGGGTGTGGATGCTTCTGAACAACGTGCACCCGGGACAGCTCTTTGGAGGCCCCAGTGGCCTGGCCAGACCCCCTCTTATGATACAGGCCTCGGGGGCCAAGGTAGGGGCCCCAGACAAAGCCCTGCTCAGATCCAGCCTCAGTGTGGGGAAACCTTCCATCCTGAAAATGTTTTTGTCTAAATGACCGCCGGAATCCCAGCAAATCCTTCCAATTCGGCCCCAGAACCCTCCCTGCCTCGACACACCAAGATGTCACGGAGGAGTCTGTTCCCTCCTCCTTTAAAATGCTTCCAGCTTCTGTAAATGGCTCTTCTGGAGGGAGGCGCCTGTGATCTTGTGTTTTGAAAGCCAATTCGCCAAACTTGTTTCCTGAGGGGATTGTTTAGAAAAGGGGAGAGAATCCTCACTTGGTGGTTTCTGCTCCTTGTATCATTTGGGTTTGTCATGAGCCACAGGGAGCAGGGTTTGAGCCTTTTCTTGGTGTTTCTGCTCTGCTTTGTTCTGCTGCCTGAAGGATAAATGTGTAGATTCGGAAGCAGTAATGACCAGACCTCCTGATAACAGTCACAGGGGTCATTTATTAAGCACCTGCTGCATACCAGGCTCTGTGCTTGCATTCATCCTCCCTCTTCTTAACAGGGTGGGGTTTGTATCCACTTTTGGCCCTGGGCCTCTCTGAGCTTTGTCCTAAAAGGGGCTCACACGAGGATCCCCTCACAGAGATGGAGTGAGGATTAAAGAGCTGACGGGCATGGAGGGAGCAGCCAGTGTCCAGCTCCAGAGAAGCCCTGGATAAATGGGAACTGATTGCAGCCCCTCAGCCCTGTGGGGACATCCAGGCCGCTGGCCTCAATGACTTGACTTCTTCAAGTGACACCCTCCTTACTGTGCCCTCAAAATGTTTGATGGGTGTGAGGGAGAAGTTAATATTTACAAATGCAAGTATGTGTGATATGTGCTTCCTGGTGACTGCGATAGGAGGTATGGGGTAATGATTAGCAATTTGGAGACACGTTTACGACCCATCTGCAGGGAGAAACAGCCCGCGTTCTGATTCAGCCATGTGTGTGCTTTCAGGACCCAGGAAGTGCTTCTGCCTGCTTGGGCGCCCTGTGTCTGTGTAATTAATTGATAATTAACCACTTTGGCTTTCTCCACACTTGGTGATCTTTAGTGTCTATCTAAAACTGACACCAAAGAAGACCGCAGATTCAGAAAAGTATCCCTTCCTTTCAAATTTAGCACTTGGCACAGATTAGACCCTGCTGGAATATTTGTGGAGAAAATGAAAAATATGAAGTAAATTCATAAATACCTGAAGAGAGAGCTTTGGATATGAATAAAGTCTGGGTTAAAGTTAGATCTGTTTTTGCTTATTTTTGTGAAGCATCTTCTGTGTTTATCCAAAGCAAAACTGCTTCTGTTGCCTCATTTAATCCTCGCTGCATCCCAGAAAGGAGAAATGCTGCTGTTCCATTTTACAGACAAGGAGCTGGGTGTGCCAGGCCGCCCCTCTCATGGGCTGAGCGGCCTGGTTCCAGCTCTCATGGTGATGCCACGTTGCTGCTTACTCCCTGCACTGACCTCTATAAACGCTCTCTCTGAGGTTGGCACTGTTGCCAGGGGAGGCAGGGTAGAAACAGTTAATACCAAGGATGAGATGGATCGTTAATTTTGATCCTGTGCCCAAATTGCTGGAAGTCACCCTGTGTGGAGTGGAGAAGTTTGAACTCAGGCCTGGACTTCCCTCTGGGCCCTGCCCCTACACTGTCTGACCTCACATGGGTCCTCACCTCTCCCAACCTTTGCATCCTGCTCTGTAAAATGACAATAAGGACACCGCCCTCATTAATCCTTCCACATTATTGGAAGGATAAAAAATAATGTCTCAGAAGGTTCTTAACGTGTCACACACTTATCGTTAGTGATTGTCATCTGAGTCATGTCTCCTGATTATCGATGGTCCTTTTGTAGCCAAACCCTCTGCCCCCGTGGTATCGGGCCCTGCGGCGAGGGCCACACCTCAGCACACAGTGAGCTTCACCTGCGAGTCCCACGGCTTCTCACCCAGAGACATCACCCTGAAATGGTTCAAAAATGGGAATGAGCTCTCAGACTTCCAGACCAACGTGGACCCCGTAGGAGAGAGCGTGTCCTACAGCATCCACAGCACAGCCAAGGTGGTGCTGACCCGCGAGGACGTTCACTCTCAAGTCATCTGCGAGGTGGCCCACGTCACCTTGCAGGGGGACCCTCTTCGTGGGACTGCCAACTTGTCTGAGACCATCCGAGGTAGAAGACCCTCACCCAGCCCAAGCCCACACCTGACCGCCAAGCCCACCCCCCACCACCCTCCACTCATCCAGCTCTACTCTTGCTCCAGGGCTTGAAATGCCTGGAACCTAAATTCCTAACTGCCCACCTCCCATGCCCCTAGATGTGCCAGCCACTTACTAACATTTTAATGGCAGTGGCTGGGTGACCACACCACCCACCAGGTGCCAAGGACTGTGCTAGCCGTTTCATTTATTTCACTGATAGCAAACACAGTTAATGAGTACCTACTATGAACTAAGCCTCTATGTGCTTGGTGATTTTCTTTATTTTGCTACAGTTACAACATTCCAACTGCATGCCAGGGGTGGTGCTTATAGATTTCCCTCATTCTTAGCCTAGTAGGAGCTACCAGTCCTTGAGCACCTACTGTGTGCTGGGCGTTGTGCTTAGTAATTTCATTCATATGCAAAGAGCACCCTCAATGTCTGAGCACCTGATGCCTGCCTAGCTCTGTCCTGGTGATGACCTCACCGTGGTGGGGGAGCTACGTTATGGAGCCCTCCCTGTGATCTGTCTGTGCCACAAGGTCAGAGCTTCTGCCCTGTGCTGTTTCAGTTCCACCCACCTTGGAGGTTACTCAACAGCCCGTGAGGGCAGAGAACCAGGTGAATGTCACCTGCCAGGTGAGGAAGTTCTACCCCCAGAGACTACAGCTGACCTGGTTGGAGAATGGAAACGTGTCCCGGACAGAAACGGCCTCAACCGTTACAGAGAACAAGGATGGTACCTACAACTGGATGAGCTGGCTCCTGGTGAATGTATCTGCCCACAGGGATGATGTGAAGCTCACCTGCCAGGTGGAGCATGACGGGCAGCCAGCGGTCAGCAAAAGCCATGACCTGAAGGTCTCAGCCCACCCGAAGGAGCAGGGCTCAAATACCGCCGCTGGTGAGGCCTCTATTTCAGCTGACCCAGCTTTTTTAAACTTTTAGTTTTGTGGGTTTTTTAAATGTTAAAAGTAGTAATTCATGCTTATTATAGAACAATCTAGAAGTCTATAAATATAAAGTAGAATTTTAATGTCAGCTCCATTTCCCCAAATCCCACACTCCAAGAGTCACCACTGGTAAGAGTTTGATGCACATCTTGATAGATCTTTTGACATAGATTTATATCACAGGAGGAAAGAGGGAGAGAGGGGGCCCATCTGTTCATGGTGTCCTGCCTCTTGCCTTCTTCACCTGACAGTTGTCATGCTCCCCATTCCTCACTGGCCCAGCCCCTCTTCCCTACTCTTTCTAGCCCCTGCCTCATCTCCCTGGCTGCCATTGGGAGCCTGCCCCACTGGAAGCCAGGGTGGAGTCATTCAGGGTGTTTGCAGCTTGTCTCACATACAGTCAGTGCTTCAGTGAACATCCTTGTGCATGTTCCATCCCACATGTGACTATTTCTGTGTGATTGCCCAAGGAACACTTTAGGCCAAAATGCATACTCATGTAAGGAGGAGATAATGCTGTCGCTCCCCTGAGAGAGTGTGAGGGTGTCAAGGTATCATTTTCTCAGCCCTTGCAACGTGGTGTTGGTGTACATCTCTTTTGTTTTCAAATGGTGGCACCTGATTGGCATTTCAGTGCAGCCATGGAATATTTCATCACCTGTTATCAATGTGGCTGATGCCCTGTACATAGTAGAACCCTTGAATGGATTAGAATGGAAGCCATTTCTGTCCTTCATGCACCCTTCAGGGAAGCTCTCAAAGACAGCCTTGGGGCTGTGTCAAAGTGGCCCTTTGGTTTCACCAATGCCAGGTTTTCTTAGGATGTGTAGGGCATCGGCCAATGCTGGGTTTTCATAGTACGTGTGGAGCATTGGCCAATGCCGGGTTTTCCTAGGACGTGTAGGGCATCGGCCAATGCCAGGTTTTCATGGGATGTGTAGGGCATTGGGCAATGCTAGGTTTTCATGGGATGTGTAGGGCATTGGGCAATGCCAGGTTTTCATGGGATGTGTAGGGCATTGGGAGACAGGATGTGTGGCTTTCCACGCCAGCTATGTTGCATACTTGGCTGTGTGACCTTGGACAAGTCAGTGCCTCTCTCTGGGCCTCCACTTGCTTCTGGCTGTGTTGAAGGGGATGAGCTTCATGACCCCTCAGCTCTGAGTCTCAGCTGGTAGGGGCCATGATTATCTTGCTCAGCATTGTAGCTTCAGGGCCTGACCACAGTAAGCACTCAGTAAATGCTTTTTGAGTGAAAGAGGATAAAAGAGTCAGTTGGTTGGCTGGTTGGTTGGTTGGTTGGTTGGTTGGTTGGTTGGTTGGTTGGTTACATAATCCTTAGTTAGCCAATGAGGTAGAGATGACTGTTGGCCCCAGTAACAGAAGAAGCAGCCAGGGTTTGGAGGGAGGCTTAACTGACTTGTCCAGGGTCACACAGCTACTTAGTAGCATAGATTTGAAAGCACTTTTCTGTGGCTTAGAGCCCTGCTTCTGATGAACCACTGTGTTCTAGTCTATGACCCCCTTACCTGTGCTGTGGGCAGTCAAGCCTCCATTGTATTTTCAAGAGTCCTGGTTCAGAGCCCCTATGCTAACTCCTGAGCCCAGTGTGCATGGCCCAGGTGCTGGGCACAGACCGGTCGTCAGCCCCTGAGCTGTGCAGAGCCTGCTGGCCGCACTGCCCTTCTTCCAGCTGCTGATTCAGTTTCCAGTGGATCTGGGGTGCCCTCATGACCGCTCTGTGGTTCACTCCAGATGAGAAGGAACGTTTCTGTTCCTCAGGAGTGAGATTTCTGCCTGTATCCTGCAGCAGGGGTTCCTCCGTAGCTGTCAGCTACAAATATATTCCCCCCTGGCACCTCAGCATGGTTTTTGTGCTGTTCATGGATGAGTCTCGTGGGCAAGTGTGTACAGACCCATGAGTGTGCCCATGTGGCTCGAGACATCTAAGAAGGTCCAGCCAGATGTTCTCAGTTAATGATGCCTGCTTAGTGGTGAAAAGCAGTGGTGGGTTTGGTTTTCTGTTTTTAATCTGCATACGTGAAGCCTCTATTCCATGTGGTCCCTAGAGAACACTGGATCTAATGAACGGAACATCTATATTGTGGTGGGTGTGGTGTGCACCTTGCTGGTGGCCCTACTGATGGCGGCCCTCTACCTCGTCCGAATCAGACAGAAGAAAGGTGGGTGCATTCCCCTCTTCCTCCCTAAGGGTTTGTCCCTGGACTGTCCTCGGAGGGAGACGCCATTAGGTGCTTTGGGTTAAGGACATCAGCTTCTGCCAGTAGCAAGAAGTCCAGAGGTAGTGGTGCTAGGGCTGGGGCAGTGGCCTCACCATGTTAGAGTCTGGGTGGGTCACTCTGTGGCTTCCCCCTCATGGTTACAAGATGTTCATCACTGCCCCAGGCCCCGTGTCCTCAAGGGGCCACTACTGAGCAAGGGAGCTGCCAGCCTGGGAAGAGAGGAGGCAGGGACTCTTCTTACCTGTCTCAGGGAGGACATCGTCTTTCCCAGGAGCCTCCCGGCAGACTTCTGCTTTCCTGGTACAAGTCTAGGTTACATGACCAGTCCCTGGACAGGAGGCCAGAGGGAATGGAGATAATAGCGCCACCATTTGATTGGGAGGACTTAACAAGTGATTGCATGGGAAATGTTAGGGAAGTAACCTGGCACACAAGTGCTCAATGTATGTCAGCCCTGATTATTACCCGTATTGTATGTGAGCCCAGAAATATGAGCCACCTCCCTAGAAAGCCCCCTCACAGGGCAAGGTGCATAGCCTTTGACTGCACAGCAGGAGGGCACAGGGTCAAACCCAGGACACCGCTTCCCCTTGTTTGTGTGCACGTGTTACGTGTGTGTCTGTGTGTGTGTGCTGGTTGTTGGGAGGGTTGGTTGTTGCTGTGGCAGGGCCTCTGACTTTGAAGTCAGACAAACCAGGGTTCCAGACCCTGGTTATATACTGTAAACAATCAATTTGGCCTCTACAAGCCTCAGTTTCCCCATCTGTAAAATGGGTTTAGCAACGCCTGTCTTGGAGAAGTTACAAGATCCAAATAAGCCCATGTGAAATAACGGGTCTGACACATTCTAGGATCGCCATAAATACATGTTCTCTTTCCCACTCTTGGAGAAGACAATTTTAAGCTGGTATTTCTGCAACCTTTTTTTATTACAAGAGATAGAAATACATTTCACATCTCAACCCAACACATACACACACCCTTTGTATATAAAATTAAAACTGATATTTTCTTTTTTGTCATATTCTTTTTTCTGTTTAAAATGCTGGTTGTGACCCACCGCCTCCAAAGGGACAAGTGCTGTCCCGAGCTGCCTTTCTGTGGCCTGGCACAGCTGAGCTTGGTTGGGCACATTGTACACTAATCACGCATCCCTTCAGTAGCTCCTTCACCTCTGCCTCCCAAGTTTCCCTCCCTCCTGGGCTGGCTCTGAGATACTGGCCAAGCCTGATGCTTCTGTCTGGGAGGGTTGGAGTCAGGCCCTGCTTCTCCAGAATCTGCAAGACGTCCCACCAAGACGTCTACCCAATGGGTTCCCTAAAGTTCCTGGAGAGCCCCACACAGGGAGGACTCCTCCTTGGATGGGGAAGCAGGTCCCTTCCCCACCAAGGGTGACAGCCCATCCCATGGGATGAAGCATTCATAGCAGCCGATAGTGAAATCCTGGCCATCCTTTCTGAGTCTCAGGCCCAGGCAGCACGCCAGCTCCTGGCACACGTGAGCTCATTACTGTGGGCTTAGGTGTTGCAGAGGAATGGAGTTTGCAGGGCTGCAGCTCTGGTAAAGGCCACCCAGCCCGAGTGGCAGGTCTGTGTGCAGAGCCTAGCTCTCAAACACAGGCTCCAGTGACAGGGACGGCTAGTATCCCCCAGCAGTTCCAATGTGCCAGGCACTGCTCACTGTGCTTTCCCTGTAGTAACAGTCAGTGCTCACCACAGACCTCATGGGTGACATTACTAACCCCACTTTACAGATGAGGAAACTGAGGCATGGGAAAGTTATAAAACTTGTTCAGGGCCTCACAGCCAGGAGGTGGTGGGGCCAGAATTTAAACCCAAGGACCATGTCTAGGACCACCTTGCACACTACCTCCCTCCGCCATAACTAGACCCCCCTTCTCCCTCATTAGGCCCTGGAGGGGTCTGCCCAGCCTCTCAATGCTCACAGTGAAATGTCCTGATTTCAACTCAACCACTACCCAGCTGTGTGACCCTGAGGAGTCACCTAGTCTCTCTGGTGTAAAAGGGGGTGACTGGTGTCCTATCACTGGATTCCCAGAGATGACTTGTGTCCAGCACTTTGCAACCTGTCAGCCTCCACTCAGACTTTCGGTGCTGAGCACAGCTTCCAACTGGTACACCTCATCTAAAGATCCAGGACCTGCCCAGGCAGCAAGCGTTAACCCAGCAGCAAGAATTCTTGCACTGTGGCAGCCTCCAGCCTATTAAAGTGCGGTGCAGAGTGCATTTGGGTGTGCATGTTGCTTTTTAATTACAATTTTACAGCAAAATGGGAGTCAAACGGCTGCTGAACCCTGGAGGCTTCTCTGTGGGTTACCCCATATCACAGGTTTAAAACCTCTGAACCAGATGGACACTTTCTTTCCTTCCAAGATCCTTTTTTTGGAAAGTGGTGGCATGTAAATAAATGGATGCTCAGCCCAACCCTGCAAGTTATAGAAGCTGAGAGAGAGGAAGTGACCCACCCGGGGTCACATGGTGAGTGAGTGGGTAGCAGACCCGGGGTTCACACATGATCCCCGATTTGCAGCCCTGCTAGAATCTGTTTTCAAGCCACGAAGGGCACTGATTGGGACCTAGGCTTGTTGGAGGGTCTCCGCTGAGGTTTGTGGTTGAATGGAGGTGAGACCCAGACAGAGGTAGGGCGGTTGTCGCCTCCCAGGCTGAAGGCTGCTTTTGGACCCCTGGCAACTTCCAGAAGTGGAAAAGCAGGACCATCTAGCTTACTCCTTCCCAGGCTTCCTTGGTGGAAGAGGATGCCCACTGGGTGGGCATGGGGGTCTCCTGTGGTTCCAAGGATGTGATTACAGCATTTCCTCTCCATGTCCCTGGAGGCAAACCTTTTGCCAAAAAATAGTTACATAAGAAAAGTGTGCTTCTAGTTAAACAACTGGCTTTTGTTTCTTTTGTCTTTCAGCCCAGGGCTCCACTTCTTCTACAAGGTAAGTGCATCATTGGTCCAGACCCTCTTGCAGTTATTATTTGGTTATTTGACAGCCCCCCAGACTACAAAGCATAATCCATGTCCACTGACCTCACCAATGTGTTGGTCAACATGTCTCTTTCTCTCCTTTGTAACCTCCTCACACTGGGTCACGCTGTTTTTAATTATTGTCCCAAATGAGGGGTTTTTTTGGTGCACAGAGGTGCTAATTTCTTGCCTGCTCTTCCCAGACAACGAGACCCTTGTCTAATCCCATGTGGACTGGGGCAGAGACCTCCCGGGCTTTCTGTCCTCACAGACATCCTGCACACGCCACCGGATGCATCCTCCCAGATCCAAGTTGTATACTTTACTCTTTCCTTTGTTTAGTAAATATTTATTGAGTACCTTGGCGTGCTGTGACCCTGGAATGCCGGGATGAGTAGGATAGAATCTGTGCCCTCTGCAAGCTCACAGCCTGGTCAGAGGCTCAGACGGTGACATTACATCACTGATGTACGTCACCGATGGCACTTTAGTTTGTTGATTCACATTTTTAGTGACTTGAGTCCCTACTATGTGCCAGCCCTGCTCAGGACCAGCTGGTGATATAGCAGTAAACAAGAATCAGCCCAGGCTTTCATGGGGCTCAGACGCCGGTGAGAGAAACAGGCATAAACGCAGAAATAAAGTGATTCATGGTGTCATATCAGGTGGTGACAACTCCTACCCTGCAAGGAGATGGAGGTGAATGGTGGGGGGCTGTCTTAGGCAGAGGAAGGGACTGCCTCTGAAAAGGGGATGCAAACGGGTGCCTGAAACTAGTGAGCTATGTTGGACAGGAGCATGCTGGGCCAGAGAGGAGGCCTGTGTGCTGGGCCAGAGGGAAGGAGAGGAAGAAGATAAGGTCAGGAAGACCCAGGTCCTCGGCATCCCGGTGTCCTTTGCAGATGCCCCTGCAGTCAGAGGTGTTACGAACTATTCTGTGAAAAGCCTTTATCGGCTTTTTGGAAGGCCTCTGATCTTCATCCCCAGCAGAGCAGAGGCAGCACACCATCATCTGCCATGTGAACCCATCTGCATAGAACCATGTGGACATCCGTGCTAAGAGTGATAAATAAAACTATAAATAGCTTCATGTTGGTTCACACCAGGTTTTGCCAGCAACTGCATAGTGCCAATCTTTTGATGGTTTAGAGCTTTCTGGGTTTCAGAATTACAGAATAGGACATGATGATCTGGAGTGGGGCCTGTGGGTGTTAGAAGGACTCGGGATTTTATCCGCAGTGGGATGAGGAACCAAAAGATGGACACGATCTGACTTTTGTTTTAAAAGTGTCGCCTGGCTACATGTGGAGCCCAGACTACAGGAGGTGAGGATGTGTAGGTGACCATAGCGGTACTGGTCCAAGCAGAAAAAGATGGTGACCTGGACCAAAGTGGTGGGATGGGCTGAGAAGTGCTCAGATTCTGGATATATTTTGAAGGTAGACACAAGAGGACTTGCTGATAGATTGGCTGTAGGGTTAAGGACCACCTCAAGGTTGGGGGCAGTGGAGTGCTGTATCCTGAGTTGGGGGGTGCAGGTGATGGGTGGAGTGATGGGGCAAATATCAGGCAAAGCAGTTGCATATAGCAGGAGCAGCTCTTCTGCCAGAGAAGGCTCTGGGAAGCATCAGGTGCCCCGCTCCTGCCCAGCAGTGTGAGTCCAAGGTACTCTTGGGATAAAGCCTTGCTTCTTGCTCTGATCTCCACAGGGGGCCTCCTGGTCTGAGCCCTGCCCAGCCTCCTGGCCTTTTCCTCCCCTGAACAAGCAGAGCCGCCTCTCCAGCAAAACTAGGCTCTTCACTGCCTTCTGGGCACATGTGTTTTCCTTTTGTCATGCTTGTGCCTGTCACACTCCCACACCTAGGTCACTCTTCCAAGGGCAAGACTCGTTTATATCCTTTGCCAAAAAACCTTCAGTGGCTCTACCTGTCCCTCCAGATAAAGTCCAGATGCCCCCCTGAGGCTCCTGGGCCCCTTGTGGTCCAGTTGCCTTGAACAGTTTCACTTCTAGCCACCCCCTGTCCTCACATTTCACGGCTCAACCACACTGTGCTCCCCCCTTCCCTCCTCCCACAGTCTGCCCTCCTCCCCCTTGCACACTGCCCTCACTGCTGGGGTGTGCTCCCTGCCCCTGCTCATGCACTACCCAGGGTCCCCCAGCTCCAGGGGTGGCAGGCACAGTGGGCTCTGTGAATGGCACCCCCTGGAGTTATGCAATGTGGTAGCTAGAGTGGGACCCCTCCTGTCACCTGCTCACCTCCTGCTTCTCCTGAGATCAGCAAGGGCACGACATCCTCCAGGGTCGGAGGGCTTCCTGTGAACCCTCCTGGTGCCGCAGCGTGGACACCCTGGTGTGTTCAAGGTGTCTCTGCACCTGTCCCATTTCATAACCCACCCCTCAAGGCCAGGGCCAATGTCCCTGAGGTTCACTGCAAATAGCTGCTAAACTTGGCACCATGCCTGGAATGGGATAGGTGCTTAGTAAAGGTTTACTGACTGAACAAGTGAACAAACGAATGAATGAATGGATCAGTGCATACCATCCTAAACCACTGTAGCACGTCCCACTCTGCCTTCTCTGAATCCCTAAAATGCTGCTTCCCAGTGGCTACACAGCCCCATCTAGGAGGATCTCTCTTTTTTGTTTTTTTTGTTGTTATTTTTTTATTTTTTATTTTTGAGACGGAGTTTTGCTCTTGTTGCCCATGCTGGAGTGCAGTGGTGCGATCTTGGCTCACCACAACCTCCGCTTCCTAGGTTCAGATGATTCTCCTGCCTCAGCCTCCTGAGTAGCTGGGATTACAGGCATGCGCCACCACCCCCGGCTAATTTTGTATTTTTAGTAGAGATGGGGTTTCTCCTTGTTGGTCAGGCTGGTCTTGAACTCCCGACCTCAGGTAATCCACCTGCCTCGGCCTCCCAAAGTGCTGGAATTACAGGCGTAAGCCACTGCGCCCGGCCCTGTTGTCATTATTTTTTACTTGTCTTACCTCCCCGATTAGACAATGAGTTTCTGGAAGAATAGGACATTGTCGATAATAGTAACAGCAATAGCAGCTACCATTTATTGAGCACTTACTGTGCTCCTGGCACTATCTATGCCTTTATGTGTATTAACCCACTTGTGATTTTAATTCTTGCAGGAACCCTATGATTTATCACTGTCCCAAGTTCATAGAACAGTGTTTTTCAAACTTGAGTGTGCTACAGAATCCCCAAAGGACTTGTTAAAACACAGATTACTGGGCCCCACCCCCAAAGTCCCTGATTGAGAATCTCTATTTCCACAAGTTCTCAGGTGGTGCTGATGCTGTTGTTCCCCAGCCACACTTTGGGAACCCCTGTTCTAGAAGGTTCTTATTCCCTATCCTATGGTTGAGGAAATTGAGGCTCAGAGAAGTCGTGACATTCCCGAGGTCCTGCGGCTAGGAAGCACCGGAATGATGACTTCAGCCTCGACATCTCTTGTACTAAAGCTAGTGCCTTCATCACTGTTCCCATGCTTCTTGCTGTCTATTTCTTCTTCCCCAGAGAAACCAACCGTTTTCTGCCTGTTTTTTATTTTTCCAGCGTGAGCCTACCAAGGGAGCCATGAGATCACTTGCTCCCTTTCATCTCTCTAAACCAAAGCAATAGCTAGTGAGTGCTAATGGTGGTTTCCCATGTAGCAGCCAGCTTCGGCTTTGGCTTGCTGGGATCAGACATTTTCCAGAGGACGTTGGTGTGAGTAACAGCTGAGCACCTCAGGGAGGCTGCAAGCGGGGAGGCTGCCACTTTGAGCTCAAGGGGTTCTTCAGGTTGCAGGGCTGGTGGAGGGATTGGCTCTCTCTAACTCCCTGGGTTAGGAATGTACAGACAGAATATTGTCTGTAATCTTCCCCAGCTCAGATGAGAGAAAAATGTGTCTCTGCTCCCTTAATGGGGCACTGATCATTCGATCAGCCATTTATTCACTTGTCAGACATTCACTGCATTTATTCTTGGAATATTTAGGGCTTCCCTGAGTCTTTCATTTATTCGTCGGGACTGAGCCTAACTCAGTGCCAAGCCTTGAGCAGAGGGTTGCAAAGGGGAGCAGAAAAGGCCCACCCCTGGTCTCATGGCACTTAAGAGCCAGTGAGAAAGATTCATTCATTCATTCATTCATTCATTCATTCAGCAAATACATATGGACTGCTGACGATGTGCCAGCCCAGTTCTTGGTGCTGGGGCTTCAGCAGTGAATGAGACTGGCCCAGTTCCTCCCTGTGTGAAGCTCAGTGTCCGCTGAGGAGACAGGTTACCAGACAAGCTGGAAAGTTAATAAGGGATGTGGTGCAGCTGCTGACTAGATAAAATGAAGCCAGGTATGGGATAGAGCAGATCAAGGAGGTGGGGTCTGGGGCGAGCAGGGAGGGCTTGTCTGCAAGGTGACATTTAGAAGATCACTGAAGGATGAGGAGGTTCCAGCCAAGGGAATATCTGGGACAAGACTGCACCAATCAAAGGGAACAGCCAGTGCCAAGACCCTGAGACGGGAGCAGTCAGATGCATGCACAGAACGCAGAGGAGGCCAGAGGAGCTGGAGCAGAGCAGAGGCAGGAGAGGGATGGAGCCTAGAGCAGTTGGCCGAGCTGAGCCTTGGAGCTGGTGTCACTTGACCACCTTGGAGTGGTTATAGAGGGGTTGAGCATTCTGAGCAGAAAAGTAACATGACATCACTTATGCATTTCAGATAGGGAGAATGGAGGGCAGGGAAGCAGGAATAGAGGTGGGGAGATCAAGGAGGAGGTTCTTCAGGAATCAGGGGAGTTCGGATGGTGGAGAGGATGGGGTGGCTGGCTTTGATGGATATTTTGGAGGTGGAGCCGACGAGCCCTAGGTTGGATTAGATGAGAGCTGTAAAGGAAGAGAGAGAAGAATCAGGACTGACTCCCACTTCTCCAGCCTGAGCACAGGATGACCGATGGTAGAGCTATTCACTGAAATAGGAAAATCCAGGGGAGACACAGATATGGGGAAAATGATAATTGGTTATTGTCTGAAATTGCTTTGAAAGAGAAGAACCCAATGTTTTGAGAATGGAGTTTGGGGGTTCAGTGAATATTTCCCCAAGAAAAGGCTGTTTAAAAATAGCATCTGAAGGAAGAAAAGGATTAAAGCAGATTAAGAGGCAGCAGCATGGAGCATGCAAAGGCCCTGGGGCAGCCTGACTGGCATTCATTCCAAGTCACTGTTTTTGAGCACATGTGGTGAGGAAGCATGGCAGGCAGGCAGGCAGACAGCAATAGAAACCAGATATGCAGATAGACAGGAGATCTGAGATTGTCATGGAGGGGCAGCCCAGCCAGCGCAGCACTGTCAGCAGAGCCATCACAAGGTGACACCATAGTTGAGTCTTGAAGGAAACAGGAAAGTTAGCCAAGAGGAAAAATGATCAAAGGGGTCCTTCGAGGCTGCTATTGAAGCATGAAGTACATAACATCAAATGCCACCCCCCCCCCGAAATATCTGGTGGGCAGATGAGTGGGTACATGAGGGCAGGGCAGTGAATTAGCCTGGAGGCAGCACGTCAGACCACGTGGGACTCTGAGCAGGGCGATGAGTTGGACTTGAACCAGCCAGCCAGTGGGAAGCTCCAGGAGGGCTGGAGGCCAGTAGTGTGGGGACAGATCTGCGTGATCTTCCCCAGCAGACGTGCCCCTGCTCCTGGAGGGTTCTTTCTGTGGCCACGTGGGGCTTGTCATGTCTCAGAACTGCTTTCAGAGCCAAGCACTCATGCCAAATCCATTAATAACCCTGCTGCCAAGCCCCACTGCTCATTTCTGACATTATCCATGCTAACATCCCCGGGGTTGCCGGCTTGAGAATTTACACAACTTCTGCCAAGCCAGTGGCTCTGGTTTGCTCATCACCTTGACCGTGACCCTCCAGTGAGTCAAGTCATGACCTCCAATTACAGAAGCAAGTGCACGAACAACTTCTTTGATTAACTTGGACATCTTGGTCTTTTTCTTTTCTTTCTTTAATGATGATACATAGATGTTTATAATACAGAACATTTGGAGAATATGGGAAACTAAAAAGGAGAAAAAAAATACCATGCAAAGACCACTGCAGTTTGCATTTTGCTATGTTTCCTTCCAGTGTTATCCACACATTTTTCATAATTGAGATAATCCTACAGAGAATTTTCCTTTTTCACTTATCATTTTAATGTAAGCAATTTTAACTTAAAAAAAAAACCTCCTCATAAACCTTTTAAATCTTTATCTGTGGATTTATCCTAATTTCCCTAACCAGTCCCAATTGGCAGAGCCCTAAGACATAAACCTCCTCCCCCATCCAGCCCTTGACAAATGCCTTTGTGTTGAAAGCTTTTTCTATATTTTGAATTCCCCCAAAAAAAAGTGCAATTATGAGTCAAAGGATGAGGACATCTTCCAAGCTCTTGATTTTGCCAGCTGCTTCCCAAAAGGATTGTACTGGTTTGCCTCTCCCACCAGTGACGTATGAAAGCTCCAGTTCATTTCACCATAGCTTCCCCAGCACCAAGTATTATAATTTTTAAAGATCCTTGCCAATAGAGTAGGTTAAAAAAATGATAGTGCATTGCTTAGAATTCCTTTTTAGTGAGATTGACCCCTTTGTCCAAACATTTGATATGCAGTTGTATTTCTGTTATGAGTCCTTCGTTCATGTCCTCAACCCATATAGAAAATGGAGCCTAAATGTTATTCTTATCAGTTTGCATGAGCACTTGAGATAGTGAGGGTATTTTTATCTGTGTGTCTCTTTCCTTTTTAGGTTGCATGAGCCCGAGAAGAATGCCAGAGAAATAACACAGGTACAGTCCTTGGTGAGATGCCCTTCCTGGGAAACTCCGTGGCGTGGTTGCTTCACATCAACCGGAATTGCAGATCTGGTTCTAAATTAAGACTCCTTGTGGGGTGGAGGGTGGAGGATCTTACACTCCTAGCTTTCCCCATGTCCTGTGCATATTCCTTCTCTCTACTGCAGCCAAGAGTGGCTGTTGCAGCCTCATGACTCAGTGCGACCCATTGCACAACTCCCCAGGGGCACCATTCACAATCCGTCCTATGAAAATGGTGCCCTGGAGTCAGGCTGCAGCTCCCTTAGTGTGGATCGTGCCTTCCCATCTCTCTACATTTGCCCAGGCCCATCCCTCTACCAGGAGCGCCACTCCCAGCTCACTGCCCGCTCCTCACAGCCAGGCTTTTCTATGCTGGAACTGCAAAGCCCAGCCTGCCAGGGCCTCTCCCACCTTTGCTGATGGAAAGACCCCATGTCATTAATTACCTCACACAAGGGCACACTCACTCAAGCTGGAGGTTTCTGGTCAGCATTGCTGAGATGATTTTGCAGCAACACGGTTTCTGAGAAACCTAGCCCTGCTTATCACCGGCTGATGCTGTCAGACCTTGAAGGCAGAGGGCTGCTCAGCATCTTGTAACAAGACAGGCCCTGCTCTGAACCCGGAACGAGAGCGCGCCAGCTGTCCTTGACATTTCCAAGGCAGTTGTCATCTTTTTAGATGTAATCTGTTGAAGGAGTCGGGCTGGTGAAAGGCGCAGCATTTGTAGACCAAAATGCCTTGGCCCTGCCCTTGTGACCCATGGGGTCCCCCCGCAGCCCCGGACATGAGCTCGAGTTGTAATTAAGAAAAAACAATTTCCAGTCATGAGCGAGGGAGATCTTCTCCCCCATCATTTTACTTCTGGACTTCCTCCTGGAATCTTCTGGGGGAAAAAAATGATGGTGAGAAGAATGGGTCATGGAAACCTCTACGAAATTCACAGCAGAGACTTACTGGGCACCCACTGTGTGCCACGCACTGGACAGTGAGCCAGACAGTCACAGCCCAGCTGGCAGAGTGCCTGCGATTCCAGTGCCAGGTGCCAGCCCTGGCCAGGGAGGGAGTTGCACGCTGTCAACACGGATTTCCCAGACAGAAGCAAATGAGAGCACGCAGGGCTCAGGACAGAGGAGCTGTGTGCTAAGAGCACAGTCGTAGAGTCCAACACACTTTGGTTCTTTGCCAGCCGGACAACTTTGTCCACTTTATTGAACCTCCCTTGGTCTCAGTGTCTTCAGCCGTAAAGTGGAATAGATAATCCTTCCCAAGCAGGGTTGTGGTAAGAGTGGATGGGGTGATCTATGTGATTGTGTGCTGCTTGTAAGCCCTGAGAACTGAAATCAGCCATTACCGTGCACCAACTAGGAGGTGTGCCGGTTGGTGGTAGCTTTATTCTGTTCTATCACGCAGGGGCCAGTCACAGAGGGAGCAAAGTTTATCATTCATGATGGGCGCTTTTGAGGCGGCAGTGGCAGGTTGATAGGATTAGCACATGGGAGGTATCCAAGTTTGCTAAGTGGTTAATGATTGCGAACATTTATTGAAGACAGATGCTCAATAGGTACCAGGCTCTGTTCTAAACGCTTTACCTGGATAATCTCATTCCATCCTCACAGCAACCCTGGCAGTAGACACTATTATCATCCCCTCTTTACAGATGGAGAAACTGAGGCCCAGAGAGGTTAAGTGAATTGCTCAAAATCCCTGAGCTAGAACCAGGATTCAAACCCAGGCTTTCTGACTCCAGAACGTTTCCCGCTTCACTAACTGGCGATCTCGTTCTTATACTGCCCCTGTTCTCTGTCTCCCTGTCCCCAGCTTTGCCCTGAGTGAAGGTGAAATTATTGCCATCCACTCATATATTCATTCAATATGGATCAGACTTCTTATGTGCCAGCCTTGGTTTCTGAATCATAACAAATGCCCAGTGAATATTTGTGGAATAAACGCATACATTAATGAATGTCCCCACACGTACCACCATCAGCAGCACCTCCTCAGGCCCCCAAACAGACATGGTCCTGGGTAGCGGGCCCTGTGATGGAAAACAAACATGGGCTGAGGAAGCACAAAGAAGGAACATGGACCCTGCCAGGAGAGGGGAGAGCCAGGGAGGGTCTTAGTATGAGCCATGCTTCATCTGAAATTTACATGGTGGATTGGGATTTGTTACAAGGAGAAGCAGGACAGACACCCTCGAGGGATGAACATGAGAAATGGGTGAAGACTGCAGGTGGTTCAGGCTAGGAGGAGGCAGGAACGGGAGGAGGTGACACTGAGGCGGGGCTGTGAGGAGACTGCACTGTGCGGGTCAGAAAGACCCTTCAGGCAGGGTGAGGAGGAGGGCAGATGGGAAGGGGCAAGGCTGGAGGCAAGTAACGTTGGCAAGAGATGAGGGGAACATGACTTATGGCTGAGCCAGTGTGGGCCGAGAGGACACAGAAGCATCCAGACTTGGTATTCAGTTTGAGTGAGTGGGCCAGGGGCTATAGAATGACCTTCTCATGACTTTCTCTTTGGGTATCTTAAATCCAGGACACAAATGATATCACATATGCAGACCTGAACCTGCCCAAGGGGAAGAAGCCTGCTCCCCAGGCTGCGGAGCCCAACAACCACACGGAGTATGCCAGCATTCAGACCAGCCCGCAGCCCGCGTCGGAGGACACCCTCACCTATGCTGACCTGGACATGGTCCACCTCAACCGGACCCCCAAGCAGCCGGCCCCCAAGCCTGAGCCGTCCTTCTCAGAGTACGCCAGCGTCCAGGTCCCGAGGAAGTGAATGGGACCGTGGTTTGCTCTAGCACCCATCTCTACGCGCTTTCTTGTCCCACAGGGAGCCGCCGTGATGAGCACAGCCAACCCAGTTCCCGGAGGGCTGGGGCGGTGCAGGCTCTGGGACCCAGGGGCCAGGGTGGCTCTTCTCTCCCCACCCCTCCTTGGCTCTCCAGCACTTCCTGGGCAGCCACGGCCCCCTCCCCCCACATTGCCACATACCTGGAGGCTGACGTTGCCAAACCAGCCAGGGAACCAACCTGGGAAGTGGCCAGAACTGCCTGGGGTCCAAGAACTCTTGTGCCTCCGTCCATCACCATGTGGGTTTTGAAGACCCTCGACTGCCTCCCCGATGCTCCGAAGCCTGATCTTCCAGGGTGGGGAGGAGAAAATCCCACCTCCCCTGACCTCCACCACCTCCACCACCACCACCACCACCACCACCACCACTACCACCACCACCCAACTGGGGCTAGAGTGGGGAAGATTTCCCCTTTAGATCAAACTGCCCCTTCCATGGAAAAGCTGGAAAAAAACTCTGGAACCCATATCCAGGCTTGGTGAGGTTGCTGCCAACAGTCCTGGCCTCCCCCATCCCTAGGCTAAAGAGCCATGAGTCCTGGAGGAGGAGAGGACCCCTCCCAAAGGACTGGAGACAAAACCCTCTGCTTCCTTGGGTCCCTCCAAGACTCCCTGGGGCCCAACTGTGTTGCTCCACCCGGACCCATCTCTCCCTTCTAGACCTGAGCTTGCCCCTCCAGCTAGCACTAAGCAACATCTCGCTGTGGACGCCTGTAAATTACTGAGAAATGTGAAACGTGCAATCTTGAAACTGAGGTGTTAGAAAACTTGATCTGTGGTGTTTTGTTTTGTTTTTTTTCTTAAAACAACAGCAACGTGATCTTGGCTGTCTGTCATGTGTTGAAGTCCATGGTTGGGTCTTGTGAAGTCTGAGGTTTAACAGTTTGTTGTCCTGGAGGGATTTTCTTACAGCGAAGACTTGAGTTCCTCCAAGTCCCAGAACCCCAAGAATGGGCAAGAAGGATCAGGTCAGCCACTCCCTGGAGACACAGCCTTCTGGCTGGGACTGACTTGGCCATGTTCTCAGCTGAGCCACGCGGCTGGTAGTGCAGCCTTCTGTGACCCCGCTGTGGTAAGTCCAGCCTGCCCAGGGCTGCTGAGGGCTGCCTCTTGACAGTGCAGTCTTATCGAGACCCAATGCCTCAGTCTGCTCATCCGTAAAGTGGGGATAGTGAAGATGACACCCCTCCCCACCACCTCTCATAAGCACTTTAGGAACACACAGAGGGTAGGGATAGTGGCCCTGGCCGTCTATCCTACCCCTTTAGTGACCGCCCCCATCCCGGCTTTCTGAGCTGATCCTTGAAGAAGAAATCTTCCATTTCTGCTCTCAAACCCTACTGGGATCAAACTGGAATAAATTGAAGACAGCCAGGGGGATGGTGCAGCTGTGAAGCTCGGGCTGATTCCCCCTCTGTCCCAGAAGGTTGGCCAGAGGGTGTGACCCAGTTACCCTTTAACCCCCACCCTTCCAGTCGGGTGTGAGGGCCTGACCGGGCCCAGGGCAAGCAGATGTCGCAAGCCCTATTTATTCAGTCTTCACTATAACTCTTAGAGTTGAGACGCTAATGTTCATGACTCCTGGCCTTGGGATGCCCAAGGGATTTCTGGCTCAGGCTGTAAAAGTAGCTGAGCCATCCTGCCCATTCCTGGAGGTCCTACAGGTGAAACTGCAGGAGCTCAGCATAGACCCAGCTCTCTGGGGGATGGTCACCTGGTGATTTCAATGATGGCATCCAGGAATTAGCTGAGCCAACAGACCATGTGGACAGCTTTGGCCAGAGCTCCCGTGTGGCATCTGGGAGCCACAGTGACCCAGCCACCTGGCTCAGGCTAGTTCCAAATTCCAAAAGATTGGCTTGTAAACCTTCGTCTCCCTCTCTTTTACCCAGAGACAGCACATACGTGTGCACACGCATGCACACACACATTCAGTATTTTAAAAGAATGTTTTCTTGGTGCCATTTTCATTTTATTTTATTTTTTAATTCTTGGAGGGGGAAATAAGGGAATAAGGCCAAGGAAGATGTATAGCTTTAGCTTTAGCCTGGCAACCTGGAGAATCCACATACCTTGTGTATTGAACCCCAGGAAAAGGAAGAGGTCGAACCAACCCTGCGGAAGGAGCATGGTTTCAGGAGTTTATTTTAAGACTGCTGGGAAGGAAACAGGCCCCATTTTGTATATAGTTGCAACTTAAACTTTTTGGCTTGCAAAATATTTTTGTAATAAAGATTTCTGGGTAATAATGAGTCCTTCCGGTGTTCAGTATTCTTGTCTTTGTGAGTGCGTCCCGGGGCCGCCTCGGGGCCTGCCTGCCCTCCTGCCAAAGCCTGGAAGAGGATTGAATGGACCCCAGGGTTTGGAAACAACCTACAGCATTTGAGCCCCTCACGTAGGTTTTAGAGACGTACAATTTTTGTTTGCCCTGGCTCAGAAGGAGCCGGTGTAAGGTTGAGATAAAATTCCATATAGACAACTGAGTTTGGATCTCGGCTCTGCTGCTTTGTAGCTGTGGGAGTTCAAACAGCACCTCTTTGAGACTTGGGCCCCGCGTCGGCACAATGGGGCAGGAATAGTCCCTGCCAGGGTGACTGTGTGGATTCAAGGAGGTTGGAAGCACTGAGCCCACGCTTGGCACTGGGTAGGCCATCACTGAGGCTTGTGTCTTTCCTTCCTGCCCTGACCCTGCATAGCTGAGTCTCGTGGCCTCTCACCACTGATGGGATCTCGGACACCCGGCTCACCCTCCTCCTGGGGCCTCACTTTCCTTCCCCACCAAATGCAGACATCTAATGCTTGTCCTGTAATATCCTTGCCAGATGACTGATGTCAAGTGCTGGTTTATAGTGGGTGCTCAATAAATGTTAGTTTCCTTTCTATCCCTCCATTAGATCATTAATGATATTAGTGCTAATTATGTAATAAAGTTAAGGCATAAATATGTTAATATTTAGTGGTTACTATGTGTCAACGCTTTACCTTGATGAATTCTTAAACCTTGTGACTCAAGGGCAATTATGTTACTGACTGTAGATGACACAGAGAGAGGGTGCAACTTACACAGGTTCACACAGCTAATGAGTGATGTTACTGAGCCTCCAGTTCCAACTGGATAACTGTAGTGCCTGATGCTTAGCCACTGGGTTAATAATCAATACGTCATGTATGGACCACTGACTGCAAAATTAACCACCATGATAGCTAATAACAGCTATGCCAAGTGTGCTGCCGCGTGCTTCACAGTTAGAACTCATTTCCTTCTCCCAGCTACATGAGGGAGGAACTCTTGTTCTCTGTGCTTTGCAGATAAGGAAACTGAGACACGGAGAAGTCATTTCTCCAATGTCCCATGGCAGAGCAGTTTGAAGCCAGGGAATCTGACTCTTCTCCCCCACACTGTACTTACTGCCTCATTTAATTCTCATGACTATCAGATCGCTGTGGTTGTGCCCATTTTGCA
This sequence comes from Homo sapiens, assembly GCF_000001405.40. NCBI lineage: Eukaryota > Metazoa > Chordata > Mammalia > Primates > Hominidae > Homo > Homo sapiens. Next base: position 1,941,106 of record NC_000020.11, read on the forward strand.
AAGAAGGAAAGATGAGGTTCTGGAAGTGCATGTGACATGACCAATCTCACGCAGAGTCTTTAGTCAAGTTGAGACTTGAACTCAGATCCACAAGCCCACTGGGGATCATCCCTACACCCTTGGCCTGGTCCATGTGATCAGAGACCACCTGAACCAAGGAGCCTTCTGCGGGGCTCAGAGAGGTCACCCTCCTCTCAGGCCAGGACCTTGGCTGTAACAGACAGCTCAGCAGTTTCCTGGCCCGTGGCCTGAGTTCAGCTCTCCGCCTCCCTCCGGGAGCAACCCATGAAATATGTGCACTGCTTGCAGGAATGGGGTGTTCAAGGCATGAATCCAGGCCGAGTGGGTGGGGAAATGCCTTCCATTCTCTGGGAAGGTGGGGGATGATGGACTGCGTGTCCAGACAAGGAGACTTGGTGGGTGTATTTCATGCAGCACCTGGGCCTTGCTTCTCCACGGCCAAATCTCCAGGGCTGGAGGCTGGCAGGCGAAATGAAAGTTGATGGGAGCTAAGTGGCCCTTTTCCAGCCCTCCAGGAAATCAGTCAAGCATTTGGCATTTATCGGACACCTCCTTGGGGTTCCTCCTGGTGCAAAGGAGAATGCTAAGACTCCCTTCCTCCATGAGGACCAGGCCAGAGTCCTCTGCCTTCCACCTGAAGCCCCTGCCCATTTTACGTGATAATCAGGAAAATCTCCACTGGCCCCCAACCCCAAGATTTGAATGCCCAACTGTAAAAGCCCATGTGTCTTCTAGCACATTTCCAACAGCCAAGTTTTGACGAAGGTTTATTTAATTTTGGCATAAACACATACTACATATTAGACACTCTCCTAAACTCTGGACAAGTATTTATTAAAATTAATTCACTTTATTCTCTTAACAAACCTATGAGTTAGGTACTATGATTATCCCCCACTTAATAAAGAAATGGAAACACAGAGAGATTAAGCATTTTGCTCCAAGGTCGCCATCCGGGAAGTGACGCCACTGTGGGTATGGTCTAGTCCAGCACTGAATGGGCATATGATGGGGGCTGGGGCTGATAGTGAGAAAGTGGGGGGCATAGATAATGTTCAGGATACACTGGACACTGTCAGTAGCCAGAAACACCACATCTCACCACCAAAGTGTCAGAACATCAGGGTGATATGGCTGCCTGGCTGCTCACCAGCCAGCCGAGGCACCCTTGAGCCTGCCACTGCTGGGATCCCCGACACCACCCCGCTTCACCACCCTCTTCACTGTGCCTGACCAGGCTCTTGGTTTCTTTTCTGAATACAAGATTATGACATTGAAGATGCTTTTTAAGAAGACGTGCTCCTGATGTTCAAAAACAGGCAAAACCTTGGCAACAGAGATCAGAAGAGTGGCTGCCCTTGGAGGGAGGACCAGGAGAAGCCTGGGGTGGCACATGCTCTACGTCTTCCTGAGTCGTGGTTATCTGGGAGGTTGCATATGTAAAAACCTTTCCAGCTGCACATTTAAGATGGGTGCATTTCCCTGTATATAAGTTATGCCTTGAATTTTTTAAAAGATAGATGCCCAGCCCTGTCCCCCTCAACCTTTGATGCCTGCCCCTCCCCACCCCCGGCCAATCTATTTTTTAAAGTTAGTGTCAACACCTTATCTTCGGTAGCTGAACCCAGCCCAGGGCCTGGCCCCAGTGAGGGGCCCAAGGAGTGTCGCTGAGTTCATTGGAAAGATGAACATCCCCGTGATCAAAACAGCACAGAAAACAGTGAAAGATGCTAAACAGCACAAAGATTAAGGATGGCTACAAGCATAAGCCATTATCTGTTATCACTTCATCTCCTGAGATTCCTTCCATCACTTTTCCTCCTCCTCCACCCATTGGAATCGGATACAACTGCACCCCAGAGTCCTTGCCCTGTGACCTTGGGCAAAGAGATTCACCACTGGGCCTCTGCTTTGTCACCTGTGAAACAGGGATAGTAGCAGCCTTCACCTCCGGGGGTTCTTGCGAGAGTTCGATGAGAAAGTAGATTTAAGACTCTTTGCAGCAGTGTGGTGCAGACAGCAGTCGACATATGCACAGAAACACACACACATTCACACCCACACACTCACATATCAGGCCAGGTTATTAGAGCATCGCTGCAATGGTGGGTCTTCTGACGAATAATTTTATCAAGTCCCTCTCTTTCTCATTAGCCTGAGATAGGTCTCTCTTACCAACCTTTCGGGTATGGGGTGCAACACCCCAGCTTGGTTTTCGGAGTCCTCTGCCTTATACCACCACCTGACCTGTTTAAGAACATTTCCTGCTCCTCCCCAGCCCCTGCTGGACTCCTTGGCCAGGTTGATTTTCCTCTCCCAAGAAATACTATATAGCAACTCCTTTGACTTCCCTAGCCCCACCATGAGTCATTCCTCCAGTGACTTGGTGTCCTCTTGACCAGACATGAGCTCCCAAACCAGAACTTCACGCTCTACCTTTGGGATTCAGCCCCTAGGATAAGGGAGACTAAAGCCTACCATGTGCCACGCTGGACTCTGGACACTCGAATTCTTTACTTCATGGAACCTTCACATTCTTTACAAATGGAATGTCAATTTCACAGGGAAGAAAATTGAGGCTCAGAGAGGTGGAGAGGTAATAAGTTCAAGATCTTTCAACTAGTAATTATTTCTCAAGCTCCTACTGGAACCTGGCCCTGTGCAAAGTTCTGAGGACACAATGTGGACAAAAAATGGACCACACCCATATGAGCTCATATATGAGGGAACCAGAGCCACTGGCAATCCCAGTGCAGGGATGAGCGCTGCTGAGAAGGGCGTGACAAACATGACGTACAAGTGCAGAATTAACACACTAATGAGTGAGCCAGCAGTGGGGCAAGAGCTGGTTCCAAGAGTAAATGGGCACTTAGAGGCTTTGAAAAAGGAAGGTGAGAATAACATTTTCAAGTTAGAGATCAATCCGGTTAATGTCCCACAAGGCAATAAGGCCATATCTTTGGAGATATTTTTTTTCTGCCAGACAGAAGCCATTTGCACCCACCAGACAAAAGTCTACAAATTAGCCCCAATCTGGGCCTTAATCAAATAGGAAAGACAAACTCAGGTATATTCTTCTACAGAACTAACTAATCCTTCAGTGGGGCTTTTAAACCGTGCCCCAGTATGGCAACGAGATGAAGCACTGCCTTCTTTTGCCTTATTTCCAAATTTGAGATACTTTGTCTTATTAAAGGAAAGTATACTGGCTTCATTCAGCCTGCACAGGGCAGAAAAAGACTTCTTGAAGAGGAAATCCCTGAACTGAGATCTAAAAAATAAGTAACAAGAAGCCAGGTAAGTGCAAAAGAGCCAGTGCAAAGGAGTTCCAAGGAGCCAGTGCCTGGCAGAGGCCAGCCGTCCCTGTGTGCACTGGCCCCTACTGAGCTCTGCAGCCCGATTCACACCACTCTCTCCATCACTCCCTGCACTGGCAACACCAGCCTCCTGCCAGTTTCTAAAATGAACCACAGGACCCCGGCATGAGCTACTCCCTCTGCCTGCAACACTCCCTGGATCTTTCCTGCTTGTCCTCCAATCCAGAGGCTGGGCTAAGTTCCCTTGTCAAACACTTCCATAGTAACCATGTCCAGCCCTTCTTTGTAGCCCTCATCTCAATTTGTAATTATACATTGGCACTGTGATTACATGATTACCATCCTCTCCTCTACTGCCCCAGTTGCTGCCTCAGGGCAAGGAGGGTGTTGATTCACTCATCAGTGTAACTCCTATGCTAAGCCCATAGGAGGCACCCAGCAAATATTAGAGGGATGGGAGGATGGACGGAGTGATGAGAAGGAGGATGAGAGGATAGATGGATGGAAGAAGGGAGGCTGAATGGATGGCTGGATTGATGCAGGAGAGCACGGATGGGTGGATGGGTGGGAAGGAAGAAAGGAAGGGGGAGAGGGAGGGAAGAGAGCAAAGGGGGAGAAGGAAGAGCATAAAAGTCGGAGTCTGCTTGGCATTTTAGGAGAACTGAGAGTCCCTGGCTGGCAGGTTTGGAACTAGAAGCAAACCTCAGTACATCTGACTTTTCCCACTGAGTTTCTCTGCCTTTCATCATGATCCTGGGTTCAGGGCAATCACTTTTTTAAAAAAATGACGCATGATCCCCAACAGGCAAGGAGCCAATGACCTTTGTCTGAGCCTTTGGTTCCTCTTCTAGAGAAACTGGGGCTATACTTAGAAAACAGGATAAAAGATTGCAAAAATTTGTCTACTCTCAAATTGCACAACCCTAGCGTGGCTGGTCAATGGCTCAACTTTGGGAGCTGGCGGGGCTCAGCCTCTCAACAGACTTGTCCTCCTGGCTCTGCTTCAATGACAACAGGCCAAGCCCTCATGGTAGAAGGTGCCGTTCCCACCAACCTGGGCCTTCTGCCCCCGCAGGCCCTCTCTGGGCAAGGTCAGCTGGTGCGGCAGCCGGTCGCATGGATCTGGGCCACAGACCTGTCTCCAGAATGAGGCCGGGTGAGAGTTTAATGGCAAGAAGGCTGCAGCCTGACTAAGGCTGTCGGCTTGATTCTGCCATGGCTCCCCCCCATGCCAGTAAATGGACCCTGTGCACATGCAGATTAATGCATTATCGCTAATGTTTTGTGCCAGATGCAAAGGCACTCGGGCAGCCCGGCCGAGAGCTGCCATTACCACAGGACCTTTTGCTGGAAAATTTTTCTTGGGGCAATTAAATCTTCAGCTGTCTCCTCCAAGGGAGTGCCAGCTTGCATTTTAATTATCCTCAAAAGAGGGAAGTAGGGGAAAGGACACAAGGCAAAGAATGAAAAAATAACAACCTGCTTTATAAACACAGTGGTTTCTCCCCCATCAACTCCACAGTGCCCTTGACCTTTAGATTCCTGCCTCCCGATACCCTTGGAAGGACCCCTTTAACGGGAAGAAGGGAGAGGAGGTAGGAGAGAGCGTTTCTTGAGTGTGGAATAAGTGTTAGTGCAATGCATTATGCCTGGTTAATTTTTTTTAAATTTTTTTTGTAGAGACAGGGTTTCCCTATGTGGCCCAGGCTGGTCTCAAACTCCTGGGCTCAAGTGATCTTCCTGCCTCAGCCTGCAAGTAGCTGGAACTACAGGTGCATGCCAACCAGCCCAGCTAATTTTTTAAAAAAATTTTTGTAGAGACTGGGTCTCCCTACGTTGCCCAGGCTGGTCTCAAATTCCTGGGCTCAAGTGATCCTCCTGCTTCAGTCTCCCAAAGTGCTGGGATTAGAGGCGTGAACCACCATTCCCAGACTCATGGAAAGTTCGAGAACCGGCAAAACTCATCAGTCAGGTGCTAGGGCGAGGGAAGCACTTGACTAAAAGGGACAAAGGGAACTTTCGGGGACCTGGAAATGCTTATCTTGATTGAGGTGGTGCTTACATGGGTGTACATATCAGTCAAAACTCATCAAACTGTATACTTTAAAATGAGTGCATTTTATTGTTTGTAAGTTAATACTTTAATAAAGTTGATTTTAAAATAATAATAAAATAATACGAGTTAATATTTATCTAGACCTTACTATGTGCCGTCCTAGTCGCGCTTCGTATGTGTTAAGCCCTTTATCCCTCACTCCAATCTGTGACATAGGCACTCAGTACCCCGTTGCCCAAATGAGGAAATTGAAACACAGAGAAGTTTGGCAACTTTCTAAAGTGACGCAGCTAGTAAGAGGCAGGGCCTGGGTTCAAATGGAGGCAGATTTTAAGCCTATAGCTGAACAGCGAAGTCCAAGATTACCCAACTGGTTATTACTAGAGGCAGGATTAAACCCCGGTGCCTTTCCAACGTGATGAAACCGGTGGAAGAGGAAAACGCATTCATTCACTAGGGAAACATTTACTCATCCTCCGCTGCAGGTCGAACTGTAGACACAGAGAGCAACAGACAAATCCCAGGCCCTCGTCGGGGAAGAAAGGGATCATGAAATAAACAGAAAAATAAATGCGAAATGCGGCCAGCGATGAAAGCTCAGAAGGCGAGCTTACCCCGGACCCAAACGCGCAATACTAACCGGGAGTGTAAGGAGGCCACGCCCTCCTCGCGTATTTGTGCCCAAATGAGCTGCCTCCCCAGCGTGCACCAAATTCCTGAGCCACCTGCTCCGAGCTCGATTTCCCTTTCAAGCTGTGTGTTCTGCGGGGGCAGGGAGAGCTGCAAGGGCTCATCTTTCAGGACGTGCTGCAAAGGCCCTTTGAAGTCATCCGCCCTGCTCTTGGCACCTTGCGCCTGGAGCTGAGCTCTTCCAAAAATGACCCCTGCGCATTCCGTGGTGCGGCCGCCCAGCCCAGGCAGTCGCGGTCCAGAGCAGGGGAAGCTGCAGCGCGGCCGACAGCTGGGAGAGCCGAGGCCCTGAGGGAGGACCCTGCCTCAAGCCAAGCAACCAGGCCCTGCGGCCCTCTCCCCACCCCTGTGCGGCCCTGGCGCAGGGAACCGGGACGGGGCTTTCAGGCCTTGAAGGGCAGACTTACTCCACCAAACATTCCCATCGTCGGCTGATGGAGGGCCTCGAGCTGGGCGCTGTGGGTACGTTATCCTATTTACTTCTCTCGGTAGCCCTGCACCATCGCCTCTGGTTCCCAGGTAAGCACAGAGAAGCAGATGACTTGCCCAAGATCACACAGTACTGCAGGAATAGAATTGGCGTCTGGACCTCTCCCCTAATACCCCACGGCCTCCAGAATCTCACCTCAGCCCCTGTCCATCCCGAAATAAACACTCTACACCATTTAGTGAATGTTCTTTCAGAGGTCAGACCCTATACATTCATTTCCTGGCTCCCCCATTTCCTGACTGCGTGACCTTAAGCAAGTTTCTTAACCTCTCTGTGTCAGCGTCCTCCTCTGTAGAATGGTGCCAAAAACTGTACCTATCCCAGAAGGTTACTGTGAGGACCAAATGAGACAAGACAATAAATGTAAAAGTGGTTAAAACTGTGCCCAGATGATAGTGAGCCCTCAAAAACTAGTCACTCTTCTAATTCCATAGACTTGATTAATTTCTGGTTTTTCATAAGTGGATTTACATGTATACATTTAAGGCACCTTTCCAAGTAAGACATACAGGTCTACCTCATTCTTTCAAGCAGCTTCATAACATTCTTGTATTCATTCATTCATTCATTCATTCATTCACCAAACATGTGTAGAGCGGGCAGCTCCTGTACACCAGGCAAGGGCATACAACACACTCAGTCCTTGCTCTGAGTTCTCATGGGAGGGATAATTGACAAATGCATGAATAAATAGTTGAGAGCATTTCACCTTATACTGAGTGCTATGAAGAAAATAAGATGGGGCCAGGCTCTGTGGCTCATGCCTGAAATCCTAGGACTTTGGGAGGCCGAGGCGGGCAGATCATTTGAGGCCAGGCATTCAAGACCAGCCTAGGGTTTTAGTAGAGAAAATCCATCTGTACTAAAAATACAAAAAAACAAAACAAAACAAAAATGCTCTATGTGGTGGTGCATGCCTGTAATCCCATCTATTCTGGAGGCTGAGGCACCAGGATTATTTAAATCTGGGAGGCAGAGTTTGCAGTGAGCCGAGATCTCACCACCACACTCCAGCCTGGGTGACAGAGTGAGACTCTGTCTCAAAAAACAAAAAAAAAAAAAGAAAAAAGAAAAAAGTAAAAAGAAAAGATGGACAAAGTGTTAGAGAGACGCTGGTTGGGAGAGGGAAAACAATTTACAGACAGTGCGTGAAGTCCCCAGGGATATGGCATTTTACTGCCACCGGAAGGAAGAGAAGGAAGGAGAATGGAGCAGTCCAGGCAGAGGAAGCAGCCAGGGCAAAGGCTGGGAGGCTGCACTAAGCTCAAGTGTGATTCAACTGGAGGTAAAGAATGAGCATTTTTGAAACCAGGTTGGAGAGTCAGGCCAGGGCCCAGTGAGACAGCGCCTGTGGATTTTAGCCTGAGAGACATGTGAAGTCCCTGAACCCGGGGGTCCTGCAGCTGTGTAGGAACAGATTGGAGAGGCACCAATGGAGGAACCAGGAAGTTTGTCAGGCTACAGGATTCAGAGGCACGGGCAAGAGGCGATGGTGGCAGGGACTAGGGATGCAGCCTCCAGCCTGGAACATGCCTCAGTGGCAGAGCCCACGGGACCAGCTGATGGGGAAGACAGAGTTGAAGGAAAAAAAGAAACAAGTTGCCACTGACAGATGTCAACATAATAATTTAATTAATGAATTCCCTATTGATGGAGAGCTGGACTGTTTCTATTTTTTCCCTACTTGCAAACAATTTTGTCTTAAACATTATTGCATAGATAGCCCCAGATATGAGATGCTTGGATCAAAGGGGTGAACTTTTTTTTTTTTTAATCATATCCAGATGGCCACATTGCCTCCATTCCACTTGTGTCCAACATGCAGGAGTTCCAGTTTCTACCCTGGAACTTTCTCCTCCTGCTGTGCTCCTGGGAACACTCTGCCCAACCCCTCCACCTCTGGCACAGACCCGGTCTCCAATGCATTTGTATTTCTTGCTGCAATCTGGAATTATAAGTTGTTAAGAAGAAAACCTCAGAACCAGGCTAAGTGGCTAAAAAGACTGCCCAGGGGCCTCTTTTTCCAGCAGGAGGCAGAGAGAGGCTTCCAACACCCTGAAGAGGGCCAGTTTACCCCTATTCTTCCAAATACAAGGAATTGACTTTTATTTTTTTTTCCCTCTTCAGGCCTGAAAACAAGCCAGAGCATTGAATGGCCATGAAAACAAGCAGTGAAAACAGGCCCTGAGGTTACAGGAAACCCTTCTCCCCACCACTCTCTGAGCAGCGGGAAGGAAGGGAGCCACTGTCCTCTGGGTCCTCTGCCCTTCAGCCCTCCTGGAGGCCCACTGGCCTTCCCCATCTCACATGTGATCAATGCCCCCTGGTTGTGGCCACCACCTGCTGCCTGACCCCCATTCCATGCCAGCTTTTGCTACCAGAGTTTCCTTTTCATAAGTGGCCTTTTTAAAGGAAGTATTTTCTTTTAATCAGCAGTCACTGCATCTGTAACAGTGCTGAAGCAGAATTTTGTTATTTTCCCATTACTTAGCGCTTCTCTGTTCCATTTATTTGGGGGAAGAATCGCTAAGATTTCAGAGATTCGTAGCTCTCTTGTACGCGGTATCTGATTTTCACTTTGGCATTTGGAGATGCTTTTGAAGGTGGTTTATGTTATCTTTCCAAGACTTACCTGGTGAGTTACTTAATCAAGAGAGGATTTTGAAACATACTGCCTCTTAATATCTTGTCTTTTGTTTTTGTTTTGTTTTTTTGAGACAGAGTCTCACTCTGTCGCCCAGGCTGGAGTCCAGTGGCATGATCTTGGCTCACAGCAACCTCTGCCTCCCCAGATCAAGCAATTCTCCCACCTCAGCCTCCTAAGTAGCTGGGATCACAGGCACACACCAGCACACCTGGCTAATCTTTGTATTTTTAGTAGAGACAGGGTTTCGCCATGTTGGCCAGGCTGGTCTCGAACTCCTGACCTCAGGTGATCCACCCACCTTGGTGTCCCAAAGTGCTGGGATTACAGGCGTGAGTCACCGTACCCAGCCTATCTTGTCTTTTAAAACAAGTGACTTTTTTTTTACAGCAAAATAAATGGATAGCAACTCTTTGACACTGCTAGTAACTATTATTAATTGACTGCTTAGGAAATGTCAGCTGCCAGGCTGGGCTCATTCCCATTGGATCTTCTCCGCAGCTCTCTAAGGGAGGTGTGAGTTTTTGTATACATTTAATGTGTGAGGACACCAAGGTATGGAGAAGTTGACTACTATCAGTAACTTACCCAAAGTTACAGACCAGGGCAGAAATGAGGTGCAGATTCCATACTCCCCAGGGCCCTTCCTTTGTAACCATGGTTACAAAGCCTCTCAGAGGGAAGGCGGCGGATTCTCCTGCAGGTCACTGTGGCAGTGACATGGGCAGGGGTGGCGGACAGACACATGTTCCCGTTTGTTCTTACTCTTGTCCGTGGCACCTCTTCCTTCCGACTGCTGGTCCAGCCGATCCATGGGCCTTGCAAGTCCACACTAGAGGCAGAATCCCTTGTTCTAGATGACTCCTAAAGGCTCAGCATCTCTAATTCTCTGATGGGATGCTGACTAAGGCACAGGGGTTTCAATTCTATTTGGGAAGTGACCTGTTCCCCTCCATCTAGACTAGACAGATTTAACAAATAAAAATAGAGGACCCCCAATCACATTTGAATTTCATAAAAATAATGAATACTTTTAGTATATATCATGCAATATTTGAGATATAAAAATCACTTGCTGTTTGTCCAAAGTTCAACTGTAACTGGGCATAGATATCCTGTATTTTCTCTGTCAACCCTCTCTCCGTCCCCCAGTAGATGCCCTTCTAGAGAGACCTGCCAGACTGAGCCGCTTCCGTCAGCCAGACATGAGGATAAGAGCGTTTAGGTAAGTGCTTGGTCAGCATGGAAGAGCCTTGGGGAACTGAGTGGGGTGGGACAGGCTGAGGAGCCTTACGGGGCCTTGGTTTCCCTGTCTTGGCTACAGTGTGGAGCTCGGACATCCCCAAGGAGCCCACCGTCCACACATTGACGGTCGCTGCTTTTAACATAAAGTCCAGCTCCCCTAGTGAGGCACTGAAAGGCCCTGTCTGCCACCCCACCTCGCCTCCTGCCCAGCTCACACAGCCACCTGGAAGGACTTAAGAGTCCCTCCCAAAACAATCTCTTCTCACCTGTACCTTCACTCTTCTTGCCTGCCTTCCTTGTGTGCTGTTTAAACTCCTATTCACCCTTTATGCCTTTAATGCCACCTCCTCCCAGAAGCCTTCCCTGACCACTGCAGGAAGAGAGGCAGTTGCATTCACTTCCCTGTCACTTTGGGCCTCTTTGACAGTTTGATTACAATAAAATTACAGCTTATGCAAGTTTAACGTGTGCTTCAGACAAAAGAAAAAAGAAAAAATACAGAAAGAAAGACAAGAAGAGAGAAAGAAATTAAGTAAGGACCATGTGGCTCAATGGGCACACACCCTAAGTGGTTATGAGATAGAGGCAGAATCTGCTCTCTGAGGCTCAGTCCCCATAGGCCCCTCATCCTACAGCTACCTAAGGACAAGTCTTTAAAGATAAGCTGGAAAAAAACCCAAAAAACTGGCAGTATAGTGGGAAAGAATGAGGGACTTGGCAGACCAGACTACTCCAAATTCAGACTCCAGCTCCGCCACTTCCTGGCTGTACAACCCCGAGCAAGTTGCTAACTCCTCTGTGCCTGGGACTCCTCACCTGTAAAGTGGGCATAAGAAAAGTACCAACCTCATAAGGTTGTTGAGAGGATAAAATGAGCTTAACACCTGTGAAGTCCTCACAGTAGCTCCTAATCCACACTGGCACTAGATTATATTATGGTCCAGTATTACCCCAGCCAGTACCCTCTGTGGAAGGAAGAGGAACCTGCTCCTGGGCTGCAGGGAACCCCAACTGTGCTGGACTCACTAGGAGACTGAATATCAGTCCCCAACCTAGTGTCTCTGAGGATTTGCCAGGGGTACTTTTCATGACACTTGATTTTTGCTTTCCAAGCTGACTCGACTGGGTAGCACCCTCAGAGAAATCTAACCGTCAGATAGACAGTCCTGGGTGAAAATTCCCACCCACCATTTCTATAATAGTTGTGTGACCTTAAGCGAGTCACATTTTGTGTTAGCTCTGCTCGCTTCACCTGTCAAATGGAGACGATGATACCTACCCCCAGGGCATGAGGAGTTAACACCTGTGCTGATGCCTGCTACCTGGTAGACACCTGATACCAAGGCCGCTGTGATTAATTTACTCTTTCCACAGCAGCTGTTGTTACACTGTTTCATTTTCAGTTTACATGCTCTTCACCCCACAGCCTGGGAGCCCTCAAAGATGGGGACTCGTTCCAAGTCAGCTCAGGCTCCCATGGTCAAGTCTACACCAAAAACCAGGGAGGCACTCAAATATGAGAGGGGGATGGAGGGAGGGAGGGAGGAAGGAAAGGAAGGAAGGAAGGAAGGAAGGAAGGAAGGAAGGAAGGAAGGAAGGAAGGAAGGAAGGAAAAGAAGAAGGAAGGGAGGGAGGGAGAGAGAGAAGGAGGAAGGAATAAGAGGGGAAGGAAGGAAGGGAGGGAGGGAGGAAGGAAGGAAAAGAGAGAGGGAGGGAAGGAGGAAGGAAGGAAGAGAGGGAGGGAGGAAGGAAGGAATAAGCAATTAAATTCTTCATTCTCAGGCTCCGGGCTTATCTGACTGGTCAGAGGAATGGATCAGTAGCCCCCATTCATTCTCCTCTTTCTGGAGTCACAACTTAGGTTTGTAGCTGTCTAATTTATTATTATATGGTGCAGTGCAGGGTAATTATACACTGTGGTATAATTTGTTATAACTTGGGCTGAGGCCTATAACTGTATAATTTATTATTATACAGTACAGTGTTGAATAATACGAAGAGTATATAATTTATTTCAGGCTTACGAGCCTAACCTGTAATCCAAATGCAGCATGCAGCCTATGCAGATGAGTTAATGTTTCTACGGAAACCTCAACTTAGATATTTCTTCATCTCTAGTTCCTTTCTTTGGGCTTCTCAGAACACCTGTGTTACCAAGTTCCTGGTACTTTTTGTTTGGTGCAAGACTGACATGTTGGGTAGCCCTGGCCCAGGCTGAACCGGTCTTGCATATTGGGTCATGGGAAAGAAGGGTCCAGAGCTGTCACCCTGCCCAGTGACAGTTGTCATCACAGGGAGGCCGCAGCTTGCCAAAGGTATTACTGGCAGCAGATACAGAACCATGACCAGAACCCCCATTTCTGGGTCCCCAGGAATGAGGAGGCTTGCCGCACCTCCATCTATTTATTAGATAACTATTCTTTGCTCCGTTCTCAGCACTGGAAACACATCATGGGACCAGGCCCCTCGTGAAGCTTGCATTCTGGAGATTAAGAGCCTCCGTCTCTCTGGTCTCTTGTTTCTTAAAGTGTGGACTCTAGACCAGCATCTTCAGCATCCTCTGGGAGCTGGTTGGGAGTGCAGCATCTTAGCCGCAAGCCTCACTGAGTCTGCATTTTCTTTTTTTTTCTTTCTTTTTTTTTTTTTTTTTTTTTTTTTGAGAGGGAGTCTCGCTCTGTCGCCCAGGCTGGAGTGCAGTGGCGCGATCTCGGCTCACCGCAAGCTCCGACTCCTGGGTTCATGCCATTCTCCTGCCTCAGCCTCCCGAGTAGCTGGGACTACAGGCGCCCACCACCACGCCCGGCTGATTTTTTTGTATTTTTAGTAGAGACGGGGTTTCACCGTGGTCTCGATCTCCTGACCTCGTGATCCGCCCGCCTCGGCCTCCCAAAGTGCTGGGATCACAGGCGTGAGCCTCCGCACCCGGCCAAGTCTGCATTTTCACAAGACCCCCTGGTGATTCATTCACACTGAAGAAGAACTGCTGGAGTTGCTGTATGATTTAGGGGAACCATTTTCTTCTCTACTTCCCTTCTACCCAAAATATATACCATCTCACTGAGTATTGAAGCGGAGTTCCTTTTTTTTTTTTTTTTTTTTGAGACAGAGCCTCACTGTGTCTCCCAGGGGAGTGCAGTGGTGCAATCTCAGCTCACTGTAGTTTCCACCTCCCTGGTTCAAGCGATCCTCCCACCTCAGCCTTCCAAGTAGCTGGGATTACAAGCCTGTGCCACCACACCTGGCTAAATTTTGTATTTTTAATAGAGATGGGGTTTCACCATGTTGGCCAGGCTGGTCTTGAACCCCTGACCTCAAGTGATTCACCCACCTTGGCCTCCCAAAAAGTGCTGGGATAACAGGCGTGAGCCTCTGTGCCTGGCCCCTTCTTCTTTTTTTTTTTTTTTTAAAGAACATGTATTTTTTTCTTTTACTTTGGATGCAGAAGTTCATTATGTACCTTTTGGAATTATAAAACAAAAAAATATATATAAAAAAATCACCCAGAACCCCACCATTCAGAAGTGACACTGTTAATATTTTAATGACCAATCCATCAGACTTTTTTATACATACATATACTTTCTTTTTACAAAATTTCGAGAAAAGATGCAATAGTGTTGTATTCAGGCTCAGAAAATAATACCCCAGAATCTGGCGCTTTGACGTGCTGAACTGAAGAAGCGGTTTCAAGGTCTCTTTCTGACCTTGCCCTGCCTCCCTGTCTCTCTGATCCTCTTACTTTCCCAAAGCACCAGGAGGGGCTGTCGCTGGAATTTTCTTATCTGCCTAAGAAAGCTTCTTTCCAAGAGAAATGCAATTTCTTAAAACTCCCCGTCCCTAGGAATCTCATCAAATAACCAGGAAAGATTAACCACTGGAAAAGAGACTAGATGTAGTCACCGTGCTCAGACAGACTTTCATTTGTTTTTCTGAGAGCAGCTCCTAGAGATCACCTGGGACGCTTCATCTGCATAGTAAGACAATCTTTGTTTACAGTGAAGGTCTGCCCCTTACCTTCCCGCCACCTCCCCCAGAGCTCAGAAGAATTTTGTCTCAGGCAGTTGTTCTTTAGGATCACTCATTTCCCCTAAAAAGTCACTTACTCCTATACCTCCCATTTCCCCTTCCCCGATGAAGAAGGGCATATAAGGGTTATTGGGTAATCATTCTCCTATAATTCCCCTGTGTTACTCACATTAAATAATTTATTTTATTATTATTATTATTTTTTGAGAGGCAAGATGTTCTTCTGTTGCCTGGGCTGGAGTGCAGTGGCACAATCATAGCTCAACTGCAGCCTCAAACTCCTGGGTTCAAGTGATCCTCCTGCCTCTGATTACCAAGTAGCTGGGACTGTGGACACATATCACCATGCCTGGCTAATTTTTTAAAAAAATTTTTTGTAGAGACAGGATCTTGTTTTGTTACCCAGGGTAGTCTCAAACTTCCGGCTTCAAGTGATCCTCTCACCATGGCCTCCCAAAGTGTGGAATTACAGGCATGAGCCACCATGCCTGGCCTTGTTAAATACAATTTCATATGCCTTTTTCTTTTACTAATCTGTCTATTATAGTTCGTTTTCAGCAAACCTTAAGAGGACAGAGGAGAAGCTTCCCTTCGGCCCTTACAATTGCACAGTGGCTCTCAAAACTGAGCATACATTCACCTGGAAGGGTTGCTCAAACATAGATTGCTGGGCCCCACCCCCAGAGCTTTTGATCAGGAGGTCTGGGACCAGGCCTGGGATTTGGCACTTCTAACAAGTTCCAGGTGATGTGGGGCTGCTGGTCCAGGGACCACACCTTGGGAAGCACTGGACTCAGTGTTCTAAGATTTCCTGAGCACCAGTAGTTGGAATCCAGCTCTGCCACCCACTACCTGCCCACAGGGAAGTTAGGCTGCCTCTCCATGATGCAACTTCTGAGTCCACAAGGACAGTACCTGCCTCATAAGATTATTATTATTATAAGGATTATATGAGTTAATTAGTAAAGCACACAAGAAGTATTAATTATGATGAATATGCATATAATTGTTTAATCAAGATTTCTTAACAATTGTTCAAAAACATTTTTCAAGTCATTATTCTTCAATGTATTTGCTTTCAAAGGCTGTGGGCTTATCCTTCATAGTGATGTATTTATCTAGTCCACAGTCTTCAACTAAACAGTGCTGCAATGAGCATTCTCATGGATAAATCACAGTGCACCTGTCTGCTTATTTCCTTAGGATATAATGTGCTAAATGTGAAATTGCTGAGAAAAATTACATGAGCATATTTAAAACTTTTGATATGTTTTGCTAAATGGCCTTCCAGAAAAATTATACTGATTTATAATGCTACCAGCAGTATATGAGGTCATCTTTTCCTTATATTCTTATTAATATCCCATGTTATTGGTTTTTTAAAATTATGCCAATACTTTGTTTGTTAATTTGAATTTCTTTGATGACTACTGAAGTTGGATGTCCCAGCTTCAATATCTCAGGACTTTAAATATTTTTTAAAATCCCTCAAAGCTTGTGTTTACAGAATGTTAACCAGCCCTTTTCTCCTCAATGAATGAACTCTGTGTCTTGGCAGGTCTCTTGTAGTAGCAGAGGCATCATCTCACAGGTAGCAGCTGCTTGATTTAAATCCCACCTGTGCTGCTGGTAACATACCTCCCATTTAATAGATGGGTGTGGACTAGAGGAGGATGAAACATTAAGAGAGCAAACAGAAGGAGAGAAGTTATTTGTTCCACAAAAATTCTCTCAACATCTCTTACAGGTCAGGCCCTCTGCTAAACTTAGAGGATGCAAAGACAAGGAAGTCTCAAAGTGCAGGGTGGTGGGGTGGGAGAATACACACAAAATAATGTGAAATATAACAGTGCAAATGAAAACAATGGGGTAGGAATCTAATGAAGGAAATGATGGTATCTTTGAAGTCAGAGAGGACCTGGGTTCAAATCCTGTTTCTTTCAACTCCTAGCTTTGGACAGTAATATGCAAAGACTATTTTTAGGCTTAAACTAGTTAAAATGACAGGTAAAAAATACCTGGAAACAAGTAAAGTTTCCTGTTTCCAGGATTCTCACAATTGCAGCCCAAGGGCCAAATATGGCATATAGAAGGTCTTGTTTGGTGCATCCAGTATTTTTGAAAAAAAAATTTAGTAGAGGAATTAGGATGGCTTAGACCAATAGATCCTGGTTGCCCAACTTAAACCCCTGGAAATATATTTGTTCCTCTAGAAGAGATCTGGGTTCATTCACTGACTTCTCCTTCTGGTCAAGGTGGAATAACAGAGAATGGGTTTATCCTCTTAGCTGAAACAAAAAAATCTGGGGAAAACATATGAATCAACAGTTTTCAAGACATTGGACATCAGGCAACACAGAACCGTGATCCCTGAGAGAGAGAAAACAAAAGAGAGCCTAGCAATTGCCTCTGCTTACTATCTGGAGAGAGTTTTCAGGCCACGGCACAGGACAGGGAGTCCAGGTAGGGCCCGGGGGTCTTCCTGAGTTGAAGAGATGGAGCTGGGTGGCTGCTATGGTTAGAATGTTTTTGTCCCCTGTAAAAAATTATGTTGAGGCTGGATACAGTGGCTCACGCCCTTAATCCCAACACTTTGGGAGGCCAAGGCAGGAGGATTGCTTGAGGCCAGGCGTTCAAAATAAGCCTGTACAACATAGTGAGACCCCATCTCTACAAAATAAAATTTTTTTAAATAGCCAGGCATGGTGATGCACACCTGTAGTCCCAGCTACTCAGGAGGCTGAGGTGGGAGGAACACTTGAGTCTAGGAGACTAAGGCTGCAATGAGGCATGGTTATACCGCTGCACTCCAGCCTGGTTAACAGAGCAAAACCCTATCTCCAAAAAAAAAAAAAAATTAAATTTATGTTGAAACCTAACCCCTAATGCAATAGTGTTGGGAGATGGGGCCTTTTGGAAGGTGTTTAGTCATGAGGACTCTGCCCTCATGAATGGATTAATGTTGTTATAAAAGGGCTTCATGAAGGTAGTCTATCCTTTTGCCCTTCTGCCCTCTGCCATATAAGGACATGGCATTTCTCCCCTCTGGAGGACACAGCATTGAAGGCGTCATCTTGGAAGCAGAGAACAGCTCTCACTAGACATCCAACACTGGCATCTTGATCTTGAACTTCCCAGCCTCTAGAACCATGAGAAATAAATTTCTGTTCTTTATAAATTACCCAGACTTGGGTATTTTTGTTGTAGCAATGCAAACGCATTAATCCAGAGGCCAAGGTGTCTGGAGTTCACAGGGCAGAGTATCACTGAGAAGAGAGCTTGTGGGGAGGAGCAGGTTCAAGAGCACAGGTGACCTCTGGCGATCAGCAGAGAGCCCCTCCTGTCTTCTGAGTACTAATGAGCATGTGCATGTATGAAACCTACCTGAGGAGCAAAGAACCACCTGATTAGATTAGAGGGAACAACCCCAGGTTCCCCCACAGGGCTGGGAATAGTCTCTGTTCTTAGGAGCCAGAGTGAAAAATCTCACAGGGCTTTAGGCAGAGGATTCACAAGGTTTCTTCCTTAGTAGCTGGACAAAATTTGCTCTAAACATGGATATGGTTCCATCTAAAAATGTTTAAAAGCAAAGATTAAACTAATTCCAAGGAACTTGACTGTGTCCCAGAAAAAAAAAAATCAAACATATTTATAGAAACACACACAAAAAAACCTAGCACATGATGATGTAAATTCAGTGTCTGGTATCCATTAAAAAAATTGCCAGGCATGCAAAGAAGCAAGGAAATTCAATCCATTAATGAGGAGAAAATTTGATCATTGGAAACTGACCCGGAAATGACACAAATGATAGAACTGATAAATAAAGACATTAAAACCATGATTATAGCTGTATTTCATAGGTTCAGGAAACTAGAGGAAGGACTGAGTTACTAAATTGTGATATGGAAGACAGCAAAAAGGCTCGTATAAAAAAGATTAGTGAAATTAAATATATAGCAAGAGAAACTATCCAGAATGAACCATAGAGAAAAAAAAGACTGAAAAAAAAAAATGAACAGAGTATCAGCAAAATGTGGGACAACTTCCAGTATAATATACATATACACACAACACACAACACACACACCCTCACACATAGGTATGTGTATAAGCAGATAGACATATTTATAAGCAGATAAATATATACATATGTGTATATATGTGTGTGTATATATAGATCAAATATATATATATATATATATGAGAGAGCTTGAAGGAGAAATAATGGTTGAAAATTTGCCAAATTTGATGTAAACAAAATTCACAGACTGAAGAAACCCAGTGAACCCCAAGCACATTAATTCATCACAGTCTCTACCTTCTACTTCCGACTGATATTATACCACTTTGCCTTACGAGATTATACTTGAGACTCTCACAACATTAAGCAAATGACACCAAGGGCCATTATAATCAAATTACTCAAAACTAGACATAAACTAAAAACCTTAAAGGCAGCCAGAAAATAAAAAACCCAGGTTATATATACACATGAACAAATATAAGGCCGGCATCAGATTTCTCAAAAGAAACAATGCAAGTAAGAAGACAGTAGAGTAGCATCCTTAAAATGCTCAGAGAAAAATAAAGTCAACCTAGAATTCTACATCCAGCAAACATGTCTTTTTAAAAATGAAAGCCTGGGCAACGTGGCAAAACCCCATCTCTACAAAAAACACACACACACACAAATTAGCCGGGCATGGTGACACATGCCTGTAGTCCCAACTACTCAGGGGCTGAGATGGGAGAATCACCTGAGCCTGGGGAGATCAAGGCTGTAGTGAGCCAAGATCATGCCACTGCATTCCAGCCTGAGTGACAGAATGAGAACCTGTCTCAAAAAAAAAAAAAAAAAAAAAATCAAACTAAAGATGTTTTCAGATATCCAAAGGCAGGAAGAATTCATCACCAGCATACCTGTATAGAAAAAAAGTGTTGATAAGTCCTTTAGGCAAAAAAAAAAAAAAAAAAAGATACCAGATGGGAGTCTGACTCTACACAAAGGAATGAAGAGCACTGGAAATGACAACTATGGGCAAATAAAACCCCTCTTTTCTCTTACTTTAAAAATCACTTTAAAAACAAATTTGACTATTTAAAGCAAAAATAACAACAGTGTACTGTGGAGTTTATAATATATGAAGCAATACTATGTATAACAAAAACAATACAAAGGCCAACAGGGGAGAAATGGGAGTATAATGTTGTAAGGTTCTGATTCTGTATGTGAAGTGGTATAATATCATCTGAAAGCAGACTGTGATAGGTTAGAGATGTGTATTATAAACTCCAAAACAACTGCTAAAATAATTCAACAAAGAATTATAGCTAATAAGCCAACAAAAGAGATAAAATGGAATCATAAAAAATATTAATCTAAAAAAGAAGCAGAACAAAAAAGAAACAAATAACAAATGGGGGAAACAGAAAATAAATAGCAACATGGTGGATTTAAACCCAACCATATCAATTATCACCTTAAATGTAAATGGTCTAAACACCCAAATTAAAGAGGCAGAAATTATCGGATTGGAACTTGCCGAGGTCATCTCCTAGACAGAGGTGGGGGTGGGCAGCCCTGGCAGCTGTGCTCTAGCATCTCATTTTGTTGCCTCTTAGACATGTGGTCCCTTCTCTGTGGGCCAAAATGGAAGTCAGGACGCTTTATGCCAGGAGTAGAGAGTGGAGACTTCCCAACATGTACTATGGAATGTCAATGCACAGCAGCACTGAATTAATCTCAGACAGCAGCTGCTAGCACCTCTGAATGAGTCTTCATTCACCACCACCTTCTCCCCGAGATCACTGGCTCTGATTCCGGAGTTCACCTGACTACCATAATCCTAGCAGCTGGGTAACCTCTGGGCGGCCCATCCCACCCTCAGGACAGTGATCTGCCAGCCAGCATTACAGACAGGATCTCCCTGTCAAGACAAATGCTTGGAAACCAGCCCTAAATGCCAAGCAACCAGATTGTTTTCCCCACTTGATGTCATGTGAGACTTTGTCCAATGTCTGCAGAGCTTCTCCCATGGCAGGATAAGCGGCCAGGCTGGACACACAATCTCAGAGGACCCAGACATCCATAGAGATATTTCGTTCATTCATTCATTTGTCCATAGAATGCTTATTGAGTGAGTACCTTCTGTGTGTCAGGCACTGTTTTAGACACTGAGAAAGCAGTGAAGACTGTGAAAAGGCTTGTGTCTCCCAGGGGCTTGCGGTCTAGTGAAGGGAGACAGACAGATATGCAATGAAATATGATGACTGGTAAAATAGCAATCCTGACAAGGTCTGATGGATGCACCCAACCAGGTTTGGAAGGATGAGCAAGAGTCTTCTCGGGGGACAAGGCAGGGAAGGCCACCACAGGCAAAGTTCCAACAGTTACAAGGTGGCAAAAGTGAGTAGAAGTGGGATGTGTTGGGAATGTCTGGGGCTCTGGTCTGCAAGGATAGTACACGTGAGGATGTAAGAGCCAGACAAGCCTGGAGAAATAGCATGTGCCAGATGATAAAGAATCTGTATGCCTGGCCAGGGAGTTTGGACTTGACTCCCTGGCCTGGAACAAGGTATCCTTAAAGGATTTTATGCAGGTGGATGGCATGAGGATATTGGAGCTTCAGAGAGGCTACTCTGGAGGCAGAGGAATGGGCATGTGGGGTCTGGGGGAAGCCGCTAGAGGAAGAGAAGTGAGAGACAGGGCTGGTAGGGAGAGGCTGGCCTAATGGGGGTCAGAGTTAGGTAAATATCTGTCTGGCTGACAAGGAGGAGGTGATGAAGAGGTGAAAGGGGCAGGGCCTGGAGACCTATCAGACATGGGGGAGGCGTGGAAGCTGGGGAGGTCTGTGCTAGAGCTGATCTAGAAGATGTTTCTGTGGGGGTATCACAGCCCAGGGTATCACCACAGACAAAGGGGAAGCCTGGGGGGGTTGGGCAGTGTTCTCTTCACTGCTGGCTCTGACAGTGATGAGGAAAGGTGAGCCCTGTTACCGACGACACTATGGGTAGCCTGGATTTCTTGCAATCCTATAGGACTGCCCTGTCAAGCTGATGGAGGAGGCCAGAGGGGGACTAGGGTAGACCGAGCACCAAATGTGGCCATCCTCACAATACACAAAGCTAAGAATCTCAGGAAGCAATGCCTGGGAGAGTAGTGGGTGTGATCTCTCCACTGCCTCCCTGCCCTTCCTAAGATCCAGCCACACTTGCCCGTCCCCAATCACGCTGTGCCCGCTCTGCCTCCAAGCGTGTATATATGCGATTCCCTCTGCCTGAAACTCCCACTGCCTCCATCCTGCTCAATGCGGCTGACTTTTCCTTTAGGACTCAGCCTGGATTTCCCAGCCCTCAGGTGACTTAGGGTTCCTCTCTGCCACCCTCCCCTAGCTTCTTGTCTCATTTCTAATCACAGTGATATGGTGCCCTTTCTTCTTGTCACTGACCACTACTAGATGGTAAGTGCCTTGGAGGTTGAAATGGGTTGTATTATTTCTTAATTTTCAGGGTCAGCATGAGGCCTGAAAGAATGGACAGGCAATGTAGGGGTGGATAGAGGGAAGAAGGGAGGGATTGATGGAGGAGTGACTGGAGGAACCATAGATGGAAAGAAAGAAGGAAGGGACGGAGAAAAGAAGGAGGGAGGGAGAAATGGAAGGAAAGAAAGAAGACAGGGAGATATGGGTGGACAGGGGAATGGATGGATTTATGAGAGATTGATGGATGTATAGGAGGAATGAAGGATGGATGGATGGAGAGATTTACAGACACATGAGAGTATGAATTAGTGAAGGAATGAGTAAATGATTGATGGAGTAGTAGAATGAGCAAATAATGAGCAGGTGAATAAATAAATAAATGATCAAAAGAATGAATGAACAAGTGAATCAATGTTTGAGTGGATGAATGAATAAGTAAATAAGAAAATAAGTGACTGAGAGAATGGATGAATAAATAAGTCAGTAAACACTTTGCATAAAATAAAATAAAAAATAAATGGATTGGTGAATGAGCTGATAAACGAAAGTAGTTAGTAAAGAAATATCATTGGTCATCTGAGCCTCCCCACCCAGCAATATTTGTAGCCCTAATTTCTTCAGCCAGTTGTGGACGTGGCTGTATCCCCAGTGCTTATAACTGTATCTGGTGCATAGTAGGTATTCAATAAACATTTGATGAATAAATCAATGGATGAACGAGTGTCGGTAGATCCGTTGACCCAGTGCTGTGGCAAACACTGAGGTTGATATTAGGAGCCTGGTTTTTAATCCTAGCCCTTTGCTTTTCAATGATGTCACTTTGAGCTCAGCCCCTTTCTTCTCTGAGCCTGTTTCTCTATCTGTAAAATGGAAAAATTGCCTTTATTTGTCAAGGCTAAGGTAAAGATGTGATTGTTACCAGAAAGGGGTCCTGATCTAGACCTCAAGAGGGGGTTCTTGGACCTCGCACAGGAAAGAATTCAGAGGAAGTTCATAAAGTGGAAGCGAGTTTATTAGGAAAGTAAAGCACACACAGAGCAGTGGCGTGGGTTGCTCAACTGAGTATACTTACAGTTATTTCTTGATTACCTGCTGAACAAGGGGTGGATTATTCATGAGTGCTCCAGGAAAGGGGTGGGCAATTTCCAGAACTGAGGGTTCCTCCCTGCTTTAGACCATATAGGGTAACTTCCTGACATTACCATGACATTTGTAAATTGTCATGGGTGCTGGTGGGAGTGTCTTTTAGCATGTTAATGCATTATAATTAGCGCATAATGAGCAGTGAGGATGACCAGAGGTCACTTTCATCACCATCTTGGTTTCAGTGGGTTTTGGCTCTTTTTTTTTTGTTTTAACCACATCCCGTTTTATCAGCAGGGTCTTTGTGACCTGTATCTTGTGATACTAGTCCTGCCAACCTTCTATCTCATCCTGTGACTAAGATTGTCTGACCTCCTGGGAATGCAGCCCATTAGGTCTCAGCCTTATTTTACCCAGCCCCTATTCAAGATGGAGTCACTCCTGTTTCAATGTCCCTGACAGAATAATAAGAGCCACATGGAAAAAATAAGGGCTCGACAAGTATTCATTCACTCCAGTCCCCCCATTCTTTTCGTACTACCTGAAATCCCTCCTGGGTTTTTTTAAAATTATAAAGCCCATACTATGTCTCTTCTCTTACAGAAGCGCACTTTCTCATTTGCACATCTGAGCAGCTGAATTTCACGCATAGCACCTCCCGGGGTTTGGTCAAAGGAGACAAAGACTCTCTCCTTTGACACAAACTAGTCTGTCTCCTCTGAGTCCTCCACTTGACTAGGCAGCCTCTCTGTCCTTGTAGACTCCAGCTGGAGCAAGAATCCTGCTAAATCAGTTTAGCAAAAATCCCCACTCTTGGTGTCCGACCATTGTGGATATCTGATCAGCTTGGCCTGCCTTCAGCAATAATCCTCTCACGTTAGTTTAGCCAGAAAATCCCTGAGGTTTCCTCTTAGTAATTTTCCATCCGTGGACCCCCGCTCTGCTCCTTGGTTATAAATTCTCACTTGTCCCTGTTGGAGTCAGAACTGAGCCCCATCTCTCTTCCCACTATGAGACCCCACTGCAGCGATCCCTATACCCATCGCCAGGGGACCTTGAATTGGCCTCACCACCTTCAGCGAGTGCCACGAATAACGTTTTCTTTAAGAGTTCTAGGCTCATGAAAAGCTCTTCCTCTCAGACGTTCCCACCTTAGTTGAGAGCTCTCCACATTTATAGTTTACTATTTTTGCTTTGATCATCATCATCATCATTACTGAAAATTTCCCCCAGAGCTTCAGGCAGAGCTGGGTAGACAAAATACTTCCGGCCTGTTTTTATCTTCGTTTTTAATTTTAAATGGAGAAAACATGGGATGGGTGGAGGAAGCAAAAGTGCTTTCTACTCGAGTGAGGTTTAAATTTCTGAACGCCACTATCCAAGCTCACTCTCCACTGGTTCCGATGAGAGCTGGGGCAAACAGGATTTCCCTTTCTTTGCAGTGAGGAAATTGCCTAATCATTTGCAGGCTAAGAGGAAAGACCGCACTGCAGAACAACTTATTTTAATAGGAAGCACCAAGACTTCTTATCTTAATGCTGACGACCGCCCGTTTATATTAGATGATCCCCTGAGCGTCTCTCCTTTTGTCTCCTTGAGTTTGAACCCTTAAGACCACGTGGACGGTGGGGAAATCCTCCCTCAACGTGCATGGCTCATCTCGCCACGAGGGGGCGCTCCCAGATCAGAGACACGCGGCTGCCGCCCACCCACCTCGCGGCCGCCACCTCCTGTGCGTGCATCATCTTCGCGCACCTGCCCAGAGGGCGGGGCCGGGGGGTCTCCTGCCCCATTAAGACTCCCTGAAGTCCAGGTGCAGCCCTGAAGGCTAGAGCAAGGTCACTACCGAGGAACAAGATGTCCTGTGAGACGTCCCGGGATCTCTGTGAAAACTCTGGACCTCTGGGAAGTCAATGGGGACTGCACTGAGGGCCTACTGTGTGCCAGGGCTTTATGTAACCCAAGTTATTCACTCCACAAACACTGAGGGCCTGCAGAGGTGGCTGTCCAAGAAGGGAAGGAAGCTGAGGGTGAAGGAGGGAGCCTGACCCTCAGACCAGTTTCCCTGGCAGCCAGCAGAGCATTCTGCAGCATGCTGCCAAGCAAGAAAGTGGTCTCAGCTGTGCACTAGCTTCAGCCTGCTCCTAGGGGAGCTCTGGAGTGGGAGCTGCACTACCACGAGGTGAGTGACTGGTCTTTTATGCCCCTAGATCTGGAGTGGGGAGGGGTATGACAGCCAGAATCAGGGGCCTAGATGTGGCTCCCATAGCATCCACCCCAAATGTCAGCAATGATTGTTTTCAGATTGTGGTTACGTTGAGGATCCGTCCCTTAGGCAGAGAGCATGGAGGTGGCTCTCAGAGACACCCTCTCTTCCAGGGCTCCCCAGGGCTCCTCAGTGTCAGCCCCAACTCTTTCATGAGAGTGTGCTAGGACCTCCTTCTCCAAAAGAAAATCTCCAGTGAAGATCAATGTGTAACCTTGGGAGGTTGAGATGAGAGAGATGATGAGATGATATGGTGGGGATGCTTTAGGAGTTCCCAAGGCCTGCTGGTGCTCTCTGCATACTCACCTGTGCCCAAACTGAACCAAGCTCATTCTCGACGCTTTTCCTCTTTCTCTCTCCCAATCCAGTCAGGTGCCTTGTCCTGCCGATTCCATACCCTTAATGTTCCCTACCCAGACTGGCAGTTACTGTGTAGTTAGCAGACAAGCAAGGACTTTGGGGGTTACCCTAAAACCCCAACTTAGCTCTTGAGTGAATCCGGGAATGTCAGTGTGGAAGGGATTTTTTGGATGCAGAAAAGGTTTCTTGCAAGTACTTGTTACTTAATATTCAATGTAATACAGTAGCTTAAAAAAAAAACCCTAGTCATTCTTAAGCCTTTAAGTTCAATTTACAAAACTTATTATTCGATTTCTATGCAGTCAGTTTCAAGGGGCTTTTGATTAATGGTCAATCGACTCATACTCGGTTAAATGATTCATACCATTTGCAAACTTGGTTAATTAAATTATCTTCAACATTTTACACAGGACTTACTAATTTAACGTATTCAATTTCCTTTTTTAAACACTTTCATTGCCTGACCTGACAAGCAAAACTTTCCAAAGTACTTAAACCACTTTGGAAAATCTAATTTAAAAACTTATACAACAGTGAATCTCAAGATCTCTTATACATTCTGGAGTCATTTATAAATTTAGTATAAAAAGATTCATGTGCTTCTCAACGGAAGAATCACAAGTCTAAACTCAATTACATATTTTAAATAGGAGTCACAAGGCTAATTTGTTCATACTCTAATATGCAAAAAAAACCTCTTCAAAGTTGTGAATACTTTAAATACCAACTACACAATAATATAGGCTTGACTTCTAAACCTTTGTGGGGTTAAAAGATATCTGCCCAGTGATGGAAAAGTTCCCCATTTTAAGGTAATTGGGGTGACATCTTTCAGTACATTGTACTACCTCAGGGGCAAAGGTTTCATATTGTGGCAGAAACTGCTGGATCTCTAATATCCGTGCTCCCCTGCCTCCTTAGAAATAGAACCTCAGACTCTAAATGGGCCAATTGGCTACCTAGAATAAAGATGGCATTTCCCAGCCTCCTTGTATCTGAGTGTGGCCATGTGACTCAGATCTGGCCAGTGAGATAAGCAGAAATGTTACATAGCAACTTCCAGAAAGGACAGCTGACGCGTATGTCCTTTCCCCCTCTTTTTTATTTGTTCCTCCATCTTGCCACCTGGACCATAGATGTTGATATAGTTTGGATATTTGCCCCTGTCCACATTTCATGTTGAGTTGTAATCCCCAATGCTGGAGATGGGGCCTGGTGGGAGGTGTTTGGATCATAAGGGCGGATCCCTTGTGTGTGTCTTGGGCCATCCCCTTGGTGGTGAGCGAGCTCTCGCTCTGAGTTCACAGGAGATCTGGTCATTGAAAAGTGTGTGTGGCACCTCCCTCGACCCCTGTCTCTCTCTCTCTTGCTCCTGCTTTCATTATGTGACGTGCCTGCTCCTCTTTCACGTTCCACCAGGATTGTAAGCTTCCTGAGGCCTCCCTAGAAGCCGAGCTGATGCCAGCACTATGCTTCCTGTACGGCCCGCAGAACCATAAGCCAATTAAACTGCTTTCTTTATAAATTACCCAGTATCAGGTATTCTTTGTAGCAATGCAAGAACAGCCTAACACAGGTGGAGTGGTCAGATTCCAGTCACTGTCTTGGACCTGGAGGTCCAGGGTCCCCCTTTAGGGCTGGTGGTGTGATGTGCTATAGAAGAATCTTGGGATTCTGACAACTTCATGAACAGCATGTCCACTTCAACCTGTGAGAGATTGTTTGGGAAGATCCCTCCCATCCCAGTGCTTCTTGGCAATGTGACTTTGCCCTCTTCCCATCAAGAGATAAAGTCTGTTTCCCTCCCTTGAATTGGATGTGTCCCTGAATCAACCCAGCACTGTGCTCCCACCTCCGTGTGGCAAAATTGGCATTGGGTGACTTTTGGGGCCTGACACTCCCATGTGAGAAAGACAGCCTAGCCTCCCAGAAGATGAGGGTCTCCAGCCAGGAGCACCAGCTGCTGGCACTGGAGTGAGCCCATGTAGGACCCTTCTGCCCAGGCCACCTTCCAGTTGCCTGCAGTTTCAGAAGGGAGCCCAGGAGAAACCCACAGGGGAAGTTCACCAATGTGCAAAACATGAAGTGTAAATTGTTGTTTTCAGCCACCAAGTTTTAGGGTGGTTTGTTGATGCAGTGAAAGCTAAATAAAATCCAGCCCTGGGCTGCCCACCTCTGACTTTTTCATGAGAAAGAAACTTTGATCTTGTTTAAGGCATGATGGTTTTTGGTCTTGGGTGAACGGAATCCTGATGCACACATGCACCTCTGGACCAGAGATTTTTGCTTTGATGTGATACCTCAGTGGCCAGGGTGATTCTCTCTTGCTGCTGATGGATGTGCTGAGCCCTTTTTTTTTTCCAATCGGTTGCTATGACAACAAGGGACTCCATATCCTCTAAAGAGGTTGGTATCTTGTGGGCAATTAGATTCTGGCCATACCATTACCTAATTCTTCTGTCTGATCTGAGACCAGAGTTCCCTCCACCTCCCCCCAGCACCCCCGGCACTCCCCGCCTTGCCCTCCTCCTGCCCAGGAGGTTAAAGCTGGCTTCCTTTGCTAATCTCCTTATTGCTGAATTGAATTCTGAAGCTGTTTCTTGCCCTTGCTGTCTGCTCAGGCTGCAATTCAGATAGATACTTAGAGGCTTCCTTTTGGATTCTGCATCTCTCCCTTTCTGGGCTCTGAGCTGTAACATCCCTTAAGTCAAGTTAGATACAGAATGAGAGGCTTCTTCTTCTCCAAGCCTCTGTTTTCTTATCTGCAAGACGGAGAGAGCTTACCAACCTAACAGGGTTGTTGGGAGGTCTCTGAGACTCTGTCTACAAACGCCTTGCAGTTCTCAGCCCCCTCACTCCCGCCAAGGCCCCAAATGTCTTCCTGGAACATTGGCAACAAAATCTTAGACGCTCACTGTGGCCTTAGGGCCTGCCCGGCTCTCACCTCCTGCAGTCCTCACCAGCCTCACTGACCTTCTGAGGGTCCTTGGGCCAGCAGTGCTCCCACCTCTGGGCCCTTGCTCTTGCTCTTCTCTCTGCCTGGGGTGCCCTCCCCTCAGCTCTTTCATGGCCGCTCCTTCCCCATTCTTCAGGTCTTAGTTTATTTTATTTTATTTATGTATTTATTTTGAGACAGAGTCTCGCTCTGTCACCCAGGCTGGAGTGCAGCAGCGCGATCTTGGCTCGCTGCAACCTCTGCCTCCCGGGTTCAAACAGTTCTTCTGCCTCAGCCTCCCAAGTAGCTGGGAGCCTGCTACCACCACGCGCAGCTAATTTTTTGTACTTTTAGCAGAGATGGGGTTTCACCGTGTTAGCCGGGATGGTCTTGATCTCCTGACCTCGTGACCCGCCCACATCGGCCTCCCAAAGTGTTAACATTACAGGCATGAGCCACGGCACCCGGCTAGGTCTTATTTTAAATGTCGTCTCCCCAGAGTTTTCCCTGACTATATCATCAGAAGAGCAGCCAATCCCATCAACAGTAATAATAGCATCACAATGAAATTATAACTTTAATAAATAGTTCTTAGCTGAAAACTTATGTCCACACAAAAACCCACACATGAATGTTTATAGCAGCATGCTTCATAATTGCCCAAACTTGGAAGCAACCAAGATGTCCTTCAGGAGGTGAATGGATGAACTGTGCAACGTCCCTCAACAGAATATTATTCAGCGCTAAAAAGAAATGAGCTATGAAGCCACAAAAAGACATGGAGGAACTTAAATTCATATTGCTAAGTGAAAGAAGCCAATCTGAAAATGCTACACACTACGTGACTCCAACTATAAGACATCGTGGAAAACGCAAAACTACGAGAGTACAAAGATCAGTGGTTTCCAAGGGTTTTGAGAAGGAGGGATGAATAGGCAAAACACAGAGGATTTTTAGGACAGTGGGACTTTTATTTATATATTAGATATTATATATAAAAGCATATTTATATATTATATATTAGTGGGACTAGTATTTTAATATTATTCTCTGTGTTACTGTAAAGGTAGATACATGTCATTACGGGTTTTTCTCAAAACCCATAGAATATACGGGACAAAGAGTGAACTCCAGTAACAGTGCATCAATATTGGCTCATCAATTGTAACAAATGTTTCACACTAATGCGAGATGTTAATAACAAGGAAAACTGCAGGTGTTGGGGGGAGGTGAAGAGATGTACGGGGATTCGCTGAACTTTCATTCGAGTTTTCTGTAAACACAGAACTAAAAAATGGGCCGGGTGCAGTGGCTCACGCCTGTGAGCACTTTGGGAGGCTGAGGCGGGTGGATCACCTGAAGTCAGGAGTTCAAGACCAGCCTGGCCAACATGGTGAAACCCCATCTCTACTAAAAATACAAAATTAGCCGGGCATGGTGGCTTGCACCTATAATCCCAACTACTTGGGAGGCTGAGGTAGAAGAATCGCTTGAACCTGGGAGGAG
This sequence comes from Homo sapiens, assembly GCF_000001405.40. Lineage (NCBI taxonomy): Eukaryota > Metazoa > Chordata > Mammalia > Primates > Hominidae > Homo > Homo sapiens. The sequence continues at coordinate 1,971,229 of NC_000020.11, forward strand.
GAGGTTGCAGTGAGCCAAGATCATGCCAATGCACTCTAGGCTGAGTGACAGAGTGAGAGTCAGTCTCGAAAAAAAAATGAAGTCTTTTGTTTTATTATTTTATTTTAATTTTATTTTTTTGAGACAGAGTCTCACTCTTGTCACCCAGGCTGGAGTGCAGTGGCACGATCTCGGCTCACTCCAACCTCTGCCTCTTGGATTCAAGCAATTCTCCTGCCTCAGCCTCCCAAGTAGCTGGGATTACAGGCGCCCGCCACCACCCCCGGGTAAATTTTTGTACTTTTAGTAGAGATGGGGTTTCACCATGTTGGCCAGGCTGGTTTCGAACTCCTGACCTCAAGTGATCTGCCCACCTCAGCCTCCCAAAGTGCTGGGATAACAGGCGTGAGCCACTGCGCCTGGCCTATTAATTAAAAAAAAAAAAATTAAAGCTCTTACAGCCCTTAATGTATATACACTTACAGTGGGGTTTTCTTTGCTTATTCCTGTCTCATCTCCTAGAGAGTGACTTGGTGCATCAATTGATAGCCCAGGGCTTGGCGCCTGGGCAGCTTTTATTATGTGGTAAGGGGGTATAACTGTGCCACTCTTATGCTTAAAATGCAGGAGTAAATTCCAAGCCCATTACCGTGCTGCATAAAGGCTGTCCTGATCTGAGGCTACCTTAGCTGTTAACACATACAACTCCCTTGGGTGATGTTGGGTGCAGACCTGCCACCTGGGACCCCAGAGGGAGGAAGTTTTCAATGCTCTTTAAAGCCTTCCAATTCTATTAAAGATAAAGGCTCCATCTGAGACTAGTAAGTCTTTAACACCCCTCTAATGCTTGCAAAGCTTCCTTTTGTCCTGTCCCTACCAGACTTCAGACTTCGGCTTAGAGCTGGTTCCTCATGGTATTGTTCCTTGAATTGTTGCTTGAATTCATTGTTATGCCACTTCTATTAATGGAATATAATACTGGTTTTCCATTCATGGTAATAACATTAAGCTTCCTTCTTAAATCAGCTCATTCATGGTTTTAAAAAAGTAAGTCGAATTAAAGAAAAATGTTAAAAGATAGTGTCGGCTGTGACAGATTGCATGTGGATGTCTGAAGTTTAAGAAACACGACATGAATTCTAAGAGTCTTTGGAGCAATGACGTGATGATTTGGTTTTCAAGCTGAAATATATTTATCACAGGGTTATTTATGATGCAATAATAATAATAATAACAATGAAAGCAACTCAAATGTTTATCCCATAGGAAGGGTGACCATATAATTTTTCATCCAGAACTCTTCCAAAAGTGAATGAGGTGCTATTAATAATGACACCAGAGGAAAGGCACAACCTTGGAACATTCTAGGCAAACTACCATGTTCATTAGGAAATGCTGAAGTAAACCATGGTATATACAGTTTGTAAACTATTGTGATTATGCAGATTTATAATTGACACTTATAATGATTGCATAAAAATGCTTAAGACATTATAATGTTAAACAAGAAAGGCATATCATCCAGTGTTCGGAGACACACCGAAGAACCACCCTGGGAGAATATATGTTAAAATATTAATCATAGCTAACTCTGAGAGGTGAGATCAAGGATGATATTTATTTTCTTTGTTGGAGACGTATGTATAAATGCGTATACCTCAGCTTGTTCTAGAAAACTCTTATTCGACACACCTGACCATGCCACCTCTCTTGAACTTCTCCACATCCTTCTTTTGTTCCTGAGACAGAGTCCACACATCATGACCACGGCCTAGAGGTCTTGTGTGATCAAGCTCCCTGCTGTGTCTCTGCCCAGCCACCAAAGCCCTCCCTGCGCTCACAGCTACTCACACCAGCTCTGTCCTGCCCCTCCGCAGGTCTCAGTCACCTCCTCAGGAATCCTCAGCCCTTGCCAGGCCAGGTCTCTGCTCCTGACACCTGCATCAACCTTTGCTGTTCAGTCTTCCCAAAGTAACTCTTTTTATTTTCCATAGTTATTTGCTCTGCGAGGTCTTTCCTGCTGAACGCAAACTCCTTGAGCACAGAGGTCATGCGCTCATCTCCAATTTATCCCCATTAATGCGTTAATCCTTACTGTGCCTTGGCCCGGGCAGGGGCTCCATAAATGATCTTATCTGAACCTCTGACTGTTGATCAATTTCATGGGAAACTTCTTGATGCATTTCTGGGTTTTACCAATGTTCCTAAATGGACAACAGATACTGTTGCAATCTGTAAAATCAGTGAGGACCTTGAATAGCAACATTCCCCAGTGGATTAAAATACAATTCGATTTGCCAAACTTTGATTTATACACTTTCCAATGATCTGTCTTTTATGTAAAGCAAGCCCCAATTCAGAGATTTTTCTCCCCGAAAGCTCAAACTATGAGGCTGCATTTTTCAAGGCTGAGACGGGAGTGGGGAGAGGAGGGCTCCAGGCTGGTAGTTTCTTAAATGCCATCCACCACTACCACTGGCAGTGTCTGAGAGTCCTGATGCCTGTGGCTGTGTATTAAGGAGAGAACACTGTGACTGGGGCTTTGATCTCAAGAAAGAAAAGCTCCCATGTCACTCCTCCTGGTACCTCCGTCTCTCATGTTCACTTTGGAGAGTGCCATTCGCTGACAGGGACGCAGAACGTTCCCTTGTGCTCCCTGCAGCCTGCTCTTTATACAACAGCCAGCACAGTCCCTTTAAATCTGGGTCAGATCATGCCCCTCCTGTGCTGAAAATCCTCCAGTGGCTCCCATCTCACCATGGGTCAAAAGTCAACATCCATGGCCCATAAGTGAGGCATCAATACTATACATTATCCAAACCAGGATACTTTGAGAGTAAAAGCAGCTCCACAGTCACACGGAGTGACAGTGTAAACTGGGACAGCGCAAGGTGCGGGACGCCCTCCACCATCTGGTCTCTTCCACTTCGGCACCCTGATTCTCGCCCTCTGCTCTTACTTGTTGCCTTAGCTTCTTACTCTTCAGTACAGAAACAGCCACAAATCCTTCTCAAGGCCTTTGCATTTGCTGTTCCCTCTTCCCGGGAGGCTATTTCCCTCACTCCCTCGCCCAGACACCCACAGGCTTACCTGCTGCACATCTCTGGTCGAATGTCACCTGCCAGAGAGCCTTTGTGCCCTCTCTGAGTGACAGCCTCCCTGCCCCTGTCACTTGCATCCCTCACCCTGTATTTTCCTTCACAGCACTAGCAAGCGCCTGCAACCTGGAGACCCTTGTTCATTTGTAGGCGACTGGTCTCCCTTGTTAGAAAGTGAGCCCCAGGAAGTACCAACTTTGCTTAATCACTGCTGAATCTCCCACCACTAGCCCAGCGCAGGGCACACAACGGTGGCTTAGTAAATGTTCATCAAAGATTGGAGGAATATGGGAGGGGAGGGCATTAACCCTGACTATGCAACAACTTTGGGTCAGACACTGTCCCTGTGTCTTATCACATGACCTCCCTCTATTCATCAGGGCAGAAACCATCACCCCCATTTTGGATGAGGCAACTGAGGCCTTGTTGATTAGTTGACTGACAGGTACAGAGCAGGTGTTATGTGTCAGCTCCTGAAAGGACGAAAGACATTACCATATTTCACCATCATTTTCTCTACCAAAGAGAAAACTCTTTGGGGGAGGCCACAGCCCACCTCCAGTGACTGGTTAGCAGAGCTGGGACCATCCTCACATCCCCAGGTGAGACTCTCACTCCAGTGCTCCTTCTTCAAGTCCAGACAGAGCATGGATCTTACCAAGAACCAGAAAGCCCTTTCTGATTTCCTAAACCTGAGGACAGGCCTGTAGGAGCTCACCAGGTGTAACTGGGATTTAAGAGTGAGACAGATGCACATTTTCAGAAGGCACACTTCATGTCAAAGGTGATGAAGGATGAGGGGAGCCCTGGGAACAAAGAATAATGGGGCTTGGTGTAAGTTAGACAGAGACGAGACAAATCATGAGGGAATGCAACATAGATGCAGATTTACATATTAGAAGGCTGATTATAAATCTTTGTTATAAATCTGCATAGCTAACGGGAGGCGACATGTAGCCAGCACATGAATCAAGAATGCTGAGATGACATCTATTAGGGAACCATTGTTCCTGACACTGTCGTGGGGATTTTTGTTGTTTTCACTTTGGGGCCTTTAATTAACAGACAAGCCCCATGGCTGGGCTCATTTGTGTGAAGGGCTTGGAGCTGGGGGTGGGGGCGGGGTGATCCAAATCTGAGGGATCATAATGATTGTCGTGATCATTATGACAAGACTTTCCTCACTAGTGATGGTGTACGGCGTTGTCGTGGAAACCGTGCGCTTATTAGTAACGTGCTCTTTTAAGGTTACCGGGATGTTGGAATCCCTTAACCAATGCCTGCTCTGTGATCACTGCACAGTGGCCTTTGTAGCATGGACAAAGAACCAGTAATCCGCAAGGCCTTCAATGTTTTTATTCCAAATCTAACTCTGGCTTGCTCCACATCCCCCACAAACAGCCTATTAAAATGATCTCCTTGAGCCCTCTGGGTGCTGGAAATGTTCTATGGTGTGATCTGAGTGGTGACCACACAGGTGTATGCAAATGTGAGGCTCCATTGAATGACACACTTAAGCACACTTTTATAGCACATATGTTACAGCTCTATTAAAAAAATTAATTTCACCCTTTTCTTACCACCAGCATAGTTTTGTCTTTTCAACAGGTGTGTGCCTCACTCAGGTGACATCAGAAATACCATAATCAGAGGCACACCCCTTTAAGAAGAAGCAACAATGTGAAAATAGCATGCAGGTATAACCCAAAGCTTCTACCAGTCATCTTAAAAGCACATAGAGCCTTAGAATGAACCCAACACAGAGCAGAAGAGAGCCTAGTGATGCAGAGATCGTGATATCCTTATTGAGTCCTTTGATCAAACTCTACCTGAAGCTAAATATCCCTCGGTTTTTCATTTATGTGAACCAACAAATTACTTGGGCTTTTTTTTGTTGTTGTTTATTTGTTTAACCCATTTGAGATAGTTAGGAATCATAAACCTCTTATGTATCAGGTGCACTTCATATTACTGAATATATTACTGAACCCAGTGAAATCATTATTTTTCTCTCCATTTGACAGACTGGAAACTGAGGCACAGTGGCATTCAGGGACTTGTTCAGAGTCACCCAGGGAAGCAGAATCTGAAGCCAGTTCTCTGTGGCTCCTACCATGCTTTTTCCTTCTTATGACCACGTGAAATCGGTCCAGAAAAGAAAGTCCAGAACAACAGTGTTCTGCAGTCCATAGCATAAGGGGAAAAGTACTAAAAATGAAAAAAAAGTATTTCTCATAAAAAAAAGATTTAGAAAGAACTCACAAAATAGTGGTGAGAGGGTGATGTGTCTTATCCTAAACATGGTATTGTTTGTCTTACTCAGTACTTTAAAAAAATTACCTGCCTAGAGATTGAAAAACAGAGATGTCACATGCATATTGAGCAATCTCTGCAGTCTCTTGGAAATCAGAGAAGGTTTTGCCATTCTAGGGCCACATTTCCCACAGCGTATACTCTCCAGTTGGCCCCAACCCCCACCAGCTCCCCTTACTCACTGGCATCCACCTACGCTGTGTCAGAATTGATGCATTGATAATAAACTTTAATCTGCTGGAACACTTTTGTTGACTTGGATTCCATAACATATTCCTACTCTATACCCTAGGAGGTCTAGCATTCACTTGCTCTCCTACTGGGATCCATGCTCCATTTTCTTCTTGAGAACCACCCACTTCCTTCCCCACTATTTCGAGTGGGGTTGAATCCATCCCTGGCTCCAGTGATGTCCATGTGATTCGGTTCTAATCAAACAGAGCATCACATCCATCTGTCCACAGTGACTGGCATGAGCTCAGGATAGGACACATGACCCAATTAAAGCCAATAAGATGTCATGAAACTTTGATTGAGATTGGTGAAAATAGCATGTGGGTATAACCCAGAGCTTCTGCCAGTCATCTTAAAAGCACGTAGAGCCTTAGAATGAACACAATACAGAGGAGAAGAGAGCCTAGGGATGCAGAGATCATGTTATCCTTATTGAGTCCCTTGATCAAACTCTACCTGAAGCTAAATATCCCTGGAATTTTTATTTATGTGAACCAACAAATTACTTGGATTTTGTTGTTGTAGTTTATTTGTTTAACCCATTTGAGAGAGTTAGGAGTCATTTGTTTTCAAGTGGTAGACAGTTCTTCCCTGGAGAATCTCCCAGGCTAGTGACAACAGGATCGGGACTCAGTGGGTAAAAATAACAGAAACCTGAACTTCAACCTGACATAAAGATGGAACTTTCCAACACTGAATCATTGAGGAATAGGAATATGTTGTGGAATCCTAGTCAACAAAAGTATTCAAGCAGATTAAAGTTTCCTATCAATGTGTCAATTTTGGCACAGGGTAGGTGGATGGATAAGATGAACCCAAGCCTTAGGTTCCTTCCATTTTGATGATCCTATGAATATCATGAATGACACAGTCCTCAGAGAAGGATTTCCTAAATACCCTAGGGAGGTTTCTCCCCTACCCTTGTTATCCTTTATCTCCACATCCCAACTATTTCCCAACAATTACCATTATTTTTAATGATTGACTTATATTTTTGTCTATGTGTTTGTCTCCTCTACTAGACTGTTAGTTCCATAACAGCAGAGATCTTGTCCATTTCATTTTTCTGTACTTCCACCACCTAGCAAAAGGCCTGCCAAACACAGTAGACCTTTAATTAAGAGTTTGCTGAATGAATGAGAGAATGTATGAGACCTTCCTCACTCTGCATTTTCTATGAAGTCATTCAGAAAGCCAGTGTCCAAATGGAACCCATGAGGTCTGTAGCCATTAAATCTCACATTCATCCTATTTAAAGACATCTCATCAACAACATTTAATGCAAAATGTCATTTTAGTAAAGGACATTATGCCACCCATGGCTACAGCATCCTCCATCCCTAACTCACTCATCCTTGTCTGGGAACATGTCTCTATCTCCTGTCCTGGTCATCTAGCATAGAAAACAGCCCATGGGAATTATGTGGGATGCAGACTCCCTCTGCAGCACCTCTCCCCACTCTCCTCATTGTGTTGCTTAATGCTCAAGCTTTGTCACCATCCCTTAAGACAATGTAGGAAAAAAAACTCATTTACTGAGCACCTACTGTGTACCAGGATCTTTGCATATATGAGCTCCTCTAATCCTCACAGCAACTCTACAAAATTGGCACTATTAGTCTTTATTTTATGGAGGCAGGAACTAAGGCTGAGAGAAGCCAAATGGCTTACTCAAGGTCGCACAGATCCAATGTTCCAATTTAAAGCTGTGACACTTCACAGTTTTTGCTCTTTCTGTTATCCCACACTTGGTTTTCCAACCTGAATATGTGTGTGTGTGTGTGTGTGTGTGTGTGTGTAACTCTTCTTTATTCCCTAGCACTCTTTTCTGCAAATTTTTTTTCTCTCTGAGGACTGAGGCTCACACACATGTGCACGTGCACGTACACACACACCCACCAAGTCATCAGCATCTTTCTTTTATTTATTGTACTGGAGGAGCAGGAAATTACACAAGCCTATTAAAGGCTAAGCAAATTCCAAGTAAATTGCATAAATGGGATTTTTTTAAAGGACACAAAATAACTCTAAAACAATCTATCCATTTCAGAACATCATCAGATACCTGGGGACTGCGCATGAAGAGATGTGCTCAGCAGCATCTTATACAAATTATCCAGACTCAAGCCTTTTCCTCTCCTATCCAGCCTCATCTCCTGGACCCACAAACCAAAAGAGAGTGCCTGGGAATGAGAGAGCAAAAGAGAGACAGACAGACAGGGAGGGCTTTGATGGAAACCAAGACATCAGGAGGTCTCTGCCTCTGATTCAGGGTTATTTGAATCAAGGGAACTCATTTGGCCTCAAGCACTTAATCATTTTATTCCTCTTTCTGGTTTTATTTTGAGACATTAAGAGGAAAGAAGCATTATGGGGATTGAAGAGGGCTTTTTCTCTTTCTAGCTGCTGCTTCTGGAGTCCCTTACCCAATGCCCAGTGCGTATGTTGGGCCAGATGGCTTGGACTCTTGGCAGCCAATTCAGCTGCTCAAGAACATGGTTGTGCTTAACTTCATCAGCTTGACTCTGCTTCAGTTCACCATGGAGTAGAAGCATGATACCCATCAGTTTAATTAGTTTAATGAGGGCTGAGGGAACTGGTCCACATTTTGAGTTTGTTGCACAGAACAAATTGGTTTGCCTTTCTCCCTCCTTGATCATTTAAGCATTCAAGAGGCTGCTCTCAATCATTTCCGAAAGAGGTTTTCACTCCCTTCTGTAAGGAGTTAGGCACTGTCCAGGGTACCAACATGACTGGGAGTTCAGGAAGTCAGTTCTTCAAGAGGTGCTTTTCTGAACAATGAGGACTCAGAGTACACTGACTAAACATTAAACCCACTAGAAGACTGGACCCTCTACTGTAAGGGTTCCTGATCCAATATAAGGCAATGTTTAAGCTTTTTACCTAAAGCATCGTCTCCAAAGTCAGGTGCACAGGAGATCTTTTGAGATTTGGGAATATAATGTTAGGATTTCTGTGTATGATTATTTACCTTCTTTTAAAGTTCTACTCTTTGTTTATGATGTGTATACTATCTGCATGAGGGAGCATGCTCATATTTCTTCTAAGAGGGGCATGTGATCTGTTAAGTTTGGACATCATAGACCTACAGGTACAAAGAACACATCGCTCTGGTTCCCTGGAATTGAGGAGTCACGTGAACAGGTTGGAAGGACAGATCACAAACTGCTGCTGCTGCTGCTGCTGCCGCTGCTGATAGTTTTAGAGTCTAGGTGTCTGAGCCAAGCACTAAGCCTATTGTGGGGAAGGGACATCCACCCTTCCCCATCACAGACCCCAGAGAAATAACATACTCCCACGCAGAAGAGAGATAGGCTGGGCTTGGATATTTTGTACACAATGCTGAGCTGAGCATGGGGAAGGGGCACATATAAGAGGATGAATGAATGCACTCCAACCTGAAAAGGTGTCAGGGGTTTCTCCTGACTCTACTCCATGAAAAGAGGTGCTTATGCATCAAAAAGCTCTCCAGAGTAAGCATTCGGATCTTCCTGAGACCGAGTCACCACCTTGAACTGGCGCCGGAGAAAACCGCCATAGCGCTTCTGGTTGTCCCACTTGAGCTTGGGACGAATGCGCCGCAAGAAGCCCCCATAGCGTTTGTACAGGTCCTCATGGCCCATGCTATCCCCGTCCCCCTCCCCAGCCACCTCTGAGCTCCTCTTGGGGTATTTGCGCAAAAAGCCCCCATAGCGTTTGACCTGCTCCTTGGGGTCCTCCTCAGCGAGATAGAGTGTGCCAGTCTCCATGGCACCATCGTTCAGCTGGGCATCCCTCATCAGCTCAGACTCTGCTCCCTCCCTAAACCCGTCAGAGAGACCCCTGAGCTTCTCCTCCAGGCTCTTGCTCAGAGTGTTCTCCTTTGTTGAGATACTTGGGAGAAACTTGCTTTTCTCCAGCTCCTTCAGGAATGACCCAGAGAGCTTGGCCAGCTCACTGTAGGGCCCTTCCCCAACCGACTTGCTCCCCAAGTCCTCCTTGTCATTGAGCCCAAGGGTGGAGGGGGTGAAAAAAGACAGAAAGCTCTGGCATCTCTCCCATTCCTCAGAGGGCAGCAGGGCAGCCTGGCATTGCAGGGAGCAAATCTGCAAAAGACCCAAAAAGACCACAGTGGCAAATGATCAAAACACATGCACTGGTCTGCCCCAGGCTCCCCTGTCCAGTGTCTGAGAAAACCAAAATGAACGCCACTGCTAAGCCCTGGGCTACCCATGTTCATACTACTGGTGGTGCATAAAGGTAGGGGACTTTGTGCCTGTGAGAAAGAGAAGACAGACCTGGAGAGGTGAAATGGCTTTAGACCCAGGACACATGGCTGCAGGTGGCAATTGCCAGAATTGGAAGTAAGATCTTCCCGTAGTGTTCTGCGTGCTCACCTTTCCCCCTCCACGTCTGACTCCCAGACAGGAAACCCCATCTCCACTAAAAATACAAATTCTCTCCCAGGCTTCTGCAGGTGTGAAGCACACTGCTAACTCTTGGTAAAGTGGGACAGAGAAGTGCAGCATGGCAGAGAACACACAGGAGAGGACACAGGAGGGTTCATCAGGCCTGGGGTGGGGGGCAATGGCATCACTTCATAGGGCCATTGGGAGCATTCAATCATAATGACGATGACAATAGCAAAGAATATGGAACTTGAACCCAGGCCGTCCAGTGCCATGAGTCTTCATGCTTAAACGTGGTGCTCTTTGAGATTGGGCACGGGCAGGACCTGGCCCATTGTGTGCATCTCTCAGTGGCTAGAATTATGTATTAAATAACTTCTTTTGTCAGGTGCAGTGGCTCATGCCTGTAATCCCAGCACTTTGGGAGACCAAAGCTGGCGGATCACTTGAAACCAGGAGTTTGAGACCAGCCGGGCAGACATGGCAAAACCCCATCTCTACTAAAAATACAAAAATTAGCTGGGTGTGGTGGTGTGCACCTGTAGTCTCAGCTACTCGGGAGGCTGATGTACAAGAATCACTTGAACCCAGGAGGCGGAAGTTGCAGTGAGCTGTGATAGTGCCACTGCACTCCAGCCTGGGCAACAGAGCAAGACTCTGTCTCAAACAAAAATAAATAAATAAATAAATAAATAAATAAATAATAACTTCTGGCATGGGCTTGATAGCCCATGCCTGTAATCCCAGCACTTTGGAAGGCCGAGGTGGGCAAATCACTTGAGGTCAAGAGTCTAACACCAGCCTGGCCAGCATGGTGAAACCCCGTCTCTACTAAAAATACAAAAATTAGCCGGGTGTGGTGGTGGGTGCCCATAGTCCCAGCCACTCGGGAGGCTGAGGCAGGAGAATCATTTGAACCCAGGAGGCAGAGGTCTCAGTGAGCCGACATCATGCCACTGCACTCAAGTCTGGGCTACTGAGTGAGACCCTGTCTCGGAAAAATAAATAAATAATTAAATAACTTCTTTCACTATCTCATGGAATCACCTCCATTTTGCAGATGAAGAAACCGAGGCTTAGAGAGGGAGTTCCAAGGTCATGGAGCTAGAAAGGGACAGAATCAAAGTCTGTGTTCTGTCCCTATGCCCTTGGTACTTCTATTCCAGCCTTTCTGCTGTCATGGGAGAGACATGTGGGGGAACTTAACTCAAAGGAAAGCCGACAAGGTAGGGTCAAGAGGTGCTAAGGCCCAGGAGAGGGTCAAAGCTTTGATCCTGTCAGCCAGATCTTTGCATTTAGGGGTGTTGGAGACAGCTCCTCTCATGGAACTGTCTAGATTTGGAGGTGCTCATCAGCCCAGGAAAAAGAAGCCCTGAAAAGTCAATCTAGAGCTGCTGACTGCCGAAGTCAGCACCACCTCAGAAATGACACTCCCTGTTGCCAGGCATCACTCTCCCTGGACACCTGAGTCTCTTGTCCTGGCCTAAGTGAACCCATGATGGCGAGGTCTGGAGTGGGGACACAGCAGCCCCTGGTGTCCAGGCCATCTATAGGGCAGGACACCCACCACCCTGCACAGGTGGGATGGATCTACAAGACAGCACACAGCTGCCCAGGCCTGCAACCTCCCCTCTCTGGGCTGCCTCGCACAGGTCCAAGGACCTGGGCATTGAAGAACCTTGCCTGAAACCTACCAGGGGATTGATAGGTTTGGGACCATCCTGGGTCTTTACAGCACACAAGGAGCACCGCGACAGGCAGTCCGCTGTGGTGGAGGGGAACATGAGGAGGCAGGCAGCCAGGACCAGCCCCTGCCAGGCCATCCTGTCTCAGCAATTCCTGCTGGGGAGGAAGAAAGAGAAGATAATGAAATCTGTGATCACCACTCTGTAGACTGTGTTCTGAGCCCACAAAGTCATCTCTAACTCCTGCCCACAGCACTGCAAAGCATTCTGATTCCCATTCTACAGTCAAGAAAACAGAGGCCCAGGGAGGTAAAGCAGAGGCCCAAAGCCAAGGGTCAAGGAAGGGAATGAGCACCCACTGTATACCCAGAGCTTTCCTGCACATTCACTTTCAATCTGCACAATAGTTCTTCAATGTGGGCTGTGCTAGTTTGATTCAACAGATGGGGAAGCTGAGGCTCAGAGCTGGGAAGTGGTTGCACACAGCTAGGAAGTGGACAAGCCACGACTTGCTCTGGGTCTTTCAGACTTCAAAACCCACTTTGGCCACCCGCCAAGCCAGAAGATACTTGGCTAAATGCTTTTCTGAGTTCTCTGAGGTCTTTGTCCCTGTGTCCCAGACTGTCCCATGTCAGTCCTTTCGGCTGTGTGAGGGCTTTGGAATTTTTCTCTCCCACTCTGGTACTGTCACTGACCTTGGCCACGGCTCCACCTTCACTCCCTCTCCCTGCTGGCCTCCCTGCCTGCCTCCAGTTCCTTCTCCGATTCCTCCTTCCTACCCTGAAATGCCGGTCTTGGCAATATCAATTCTGTGAACACACCCATTGGGTGGGGTCAGGCTGGCCCTTCTGCCTAAATGTCAGGGCTCCCTCAGTCCCTTTCCTACAATCCCACACTTCAGCTCTGGGCTCCAACCACATCAGCTTCTTGCAATTCCCTTAATGAATGCATCAGGCTCTGACCCACCCCCAGGCCTTTGCACATGCTGTTCCCTCCGCCTGGAGAACCCTTCATCTCCTATTCTGTTACCTGTCATTTAGGTCCTGGATTAGATATTACTTCACCCAGGCAGCTCTCCCTGATTGCCTAGGCTAGGTGAGCTGCTCCTCCTTTCTATTCTCCCAGCAACATGTGCCTCTTCCATGAAAATAGTCTACTATTTGGTAATTAGCTATGCGAGTCTTCAGGATTTGGTTCCACGTCTTGTCTTTTTCTCTGAAATAGTCACTCTGTTCCTCAAATAAGCTTGCTCCTACCTCAGGGCCTTTGCACTTTCTGTTCTTCTGCCTGCAGTATTTTGACCTCAGACTTCTACATCACTAGTTCCTTCTTTGTCATTAAATTAGTTGTCACATTGGCAGAGAGGCATTTACTGATCACTATGTCTAATGAGGCTTCCTTGGTCTCTCTCTTACATCACCCTTTGTTTGCATCAGAACACTCCCACCTCATAGTCTCCTATCTATCTGATGCTTGGTTGTTGTTGGTGGTGTGTATGTTGTGGTTATTGCCTCCCCAATAGAATGTTAGCTCCTTGGGGACACAGACCCTGTCTTATTCTCTGCTGTATACTAGCTCCTAAAACCCCGGCCAGCACATCGCAGGTCCTCCATAAATTCTTGGCAGATGAATTAATGCTTCATAAATACTCTGTTAAAAGTTGTCTGTTTTGCAGGGCATGGTGGCTTACACCTGTAATCCCAGCACTTTGAGAGGCTGAGGCGGACAGATCACTTGAGTTCAGGAATTTGAGACCAGCCTGACCAACATAGTGAAACCCCATCTCCATTAAAAATACAAAAATTAGCTGGGAAGAGTGGCATGTACCTGTAGCCCCATCTACTCAGGAAGCTGAGGCAGGAGAATCATTTGAACCCAGGAGGAAGAGGTTGCAGTGAGCAGAGATTGTGCCACTGCACTCCAGCCTGGGCAACACAGTGAGACTCCATCTCAAAAAAAAAAAGTTGTCTGTTTCATAGTCAGCGCTTTATAAATCAGACATCAAGACTCAGGGCCTCGATATTTGATTTATGGGGGCGCAGTACAGTTCTTTCAACTGGATCCTCTAAGACACTCCACCCCACCCTGGCCAGGGGCTTCATGCTTCGCCCAGCATGGTCTTTGTAACCTGACAACACCAATTTACTCTCAGAAAAGGCTGTCCTCTTTTCCTCCAACTTCCCCATCCCTGCAAACTGCCGTGTTTGCTCAGGTGCTCAGAGTGTTTTGAAGCTTCCACTCCACGGGCCCCAGAACCCCACGCTGTAGCCAGAGCAGGGTCTCCCCGTTAAAGCATGCAGTAGGCTCCCCCACCAGAGCATGCCTAATAGTGATCCCAGCCGCCATTTATCAGATCCCTACTGCTCTAAGCTCTTCAATTCATCACCTCATTTATTCCTTCAGGGAAGCGGGCACTTCTGGTCTGGTGAATTGCCCATGTTCTACCTCGAATAGTGAAGCTGGGGTGCAAGGCCTGCTCTGTTTGACCCCCTACACTTAATGACTACAATTTCTAGAGCAACTTCAATTCAGTGGCAGCTGCACCCTCCGTGAGATCCAAGGGGCTTTATATACAAGGCCCTTGACCTGTGTATTGTACTTAGCCTACCCACAAACTGTGAGAGGTGGGTATCACTAGCCCCACTTTATAGACAAGAAAACTGGTGCTCAGAGAGGCTTAGTAAATCTCCTGAGGTCACATAGCAATTCGAGGCATAAGCTCAGGCCCATGTGCCTCGCTTGAGGCTGGCAAGGTCGGCTCCCCTGAACCAGGGAGGCTCAGTGGAAAAGTCAGGGAAGCGGACTTGTGTCCCTCCTGTGTCTTTCTCTTCCCCTTGAGTCTGTCAGCTGCGGAGTGGATTACAGTTCCCCACCAGTGAGCCATACAAAGCGGGCAGCTCATGTTTTCTCTGATATCAGTGATGGCTGGGCTGGCCTGTTAGAAGATCAGCAGTGAATTAACCTACTGGGGAGGGGGCGCCTACCACACCATCTAACTCCTGGCCGAAGGCTTCCCACACAGCTTAGCTGCAAAGGTAGGGGACTCACGTTAAGATCTCTTTATCTCAGGCAAAAACAGCATTGGCATCCTTGTCTTTCATCCATTAACTTTATATTGAATGATAATTCTGGTTGATCTGAAGGTAATGAAGTACTCACGATGTTCTGAGCAGTTCTCGTGGATTAACTCATACATATTCACAGAAACTCTACAGCACTGGTGCTGTTGCCATGCCCACTTTACAGATGAGGAAACTGAGTTAAGATTCTAGAGCCTGCCAAGATTCTACAGTGAGTAAGTGGCAAAGCTGGGATTCCTACCAGGCTGTCTGGCTCCAGAGCTACCTTCGTAACTGCTGTGTACTGCCCAGGCCCCTTCAGTCCTCTCATCTCCAGCCTCCAGCTTCTCCCTCCAGGTGGACCCTCCACCTGGTTCTGGAGTAGCCTCCAATCTTTCCCTCCTAGACACTTTCCACGCAGCAGCTGGAGGACCCTTCTGAAATGCAGATCTGACTGCACCTCTGCCCTGTGTCCACTGGCTTCCAGAGGAAGATTGTCCCCATCACCTAGCAGCCCCGGGCTCTCCTAATACCAACAGCTGACATTTGCTAGTGCTCCCTGTGTGCCTGCCCCTGTGCTCAGAACTCTGTGTGTCTTATTGTAAGGGGGTCCTTCTGACAACTCCGTAAGACTGGGACTAATATTCTCCCCATTTATGGATGAGAAAATGGGACACAGAAAGATCATATAGTCTGTCCAAGCTATCCCAGCAAGTACACAGCACCCAGACAGATTGGATGTGAGTTCTGCCCATCCTGGGCTTGACCAAACCACCTGCAATTTCAAAACAAATGCTCCACACACCCCACCCTCCAAGCCTTTGCACAAAGGGTTTCCTCTGACAGGAACATCTTTCTCAACCCACTCATCCACTCCCATCACACTTTGACCTGGCTAATTCTTACTCATTATTCAAAACTCAGCCTCAGTTGCCTCTTCCAGGAAGTCTATCTGGATTAGTTCCCTCCTTTGAGCTCCCACGGCCTCCTATGCTGGCTCCATCACAAAATTACCACTTACCTGTCAGTCCCTTATGGGCAGGTAGGGGGGTCGCTGAGGTGCGAGTGTGTTGTGCTTGAGGATGACAAAGAGGCCAGGGTGCATGAAGGGACGTAAGGGAGAGACTGGGGTGAAAAAGCAAAGAGGTGGGCAGAGGATGGATAATGCCGGCTCTCATAGGCCAAGGGAGAGTTTGCATTTGATCTAAATGTGACTGGAAGACTAAGGAAGTTTGAGTGATTGATGAATGAATGAATGAATGAATGAATGAATGGTGTCCCAGTACCTCATACAGGGCTAGAATGAGAGCAGGAGCTGCACACCAATTAGTTATGAAAATAAACAGGCAATATTTTAAAATTAGGCAATTTTTACATTTAAAAAAATCTCAATTTTCAATTTGTCTTGAAAAAACAAAAGGCCTGGGGACATTGAGCCTGTATTCCAATATGGCAACAGTCACAGAGGAAGAGCCATACTGCCCATCGCCACCCGCGGAACCACCTGGGGCTTCCCTCACTGCCGACTGCCTGACAGACAAGTGAGTCTGCAGCCCCTGAATTACCCACTCTAACTCGGAGAAGCAGCATGGGGTGGAAGGGACACAGCTGTTGAGAAAGGAGAGGTAGGACCTCAAATTCTTTCCTGACCCCGAAGCAGGATCACCAAGTGGTCAGTAAAGTGGGCTCAGGTCTCAGCCCACCACTTACCACCACTTTAGGAAAATGACTTAGCTTTACTGTGCCTCAGTTTTCTCAGCTACAAAATGGGGCTAATAATAATGCTTCAGAGGGTGGACATAGGAACTAAATAAATGATCACATTTGAAGCACCTAGCTTGTGCTTGAAGCACCTGGCACATAGTAGGTGCTTTGGAGAGGGGAGTATGAAGACTCCAGTCTAGTCTTACTTGAGCTGTAGGGGATAGGAAAAGAAGAGGGCAAAAAGGAGAGATCATAAAGAGCTTGGCACACTGCAGAAACAAAAAATGCTGCTGCATGACTCACTGCCGTGGACGGAGGGCCTGCTGGGTGTTGGTCTGGGCTGAATGCCCTTCATCCATGATCCTGTCAACCCAGCAACAGCCACCGATTCTCAGGAGCCTACTGGGTGCCAGGCTGTGCATTACTGCTTTGTACATATTAGCTCCAATCCTCACAGCAGCCCCAGAGGTGCATGTTTTTCTTTTAATATCCATTTTACAGAGGGCCAGACTGAGGCTGAGAAAGGGGAACTTGCTCATCCAAGTTCACCTGGAGTTATGAATGGGGGAGTTGGGCTCCTGTCCAGATCCCTCCGGGTTAAAAGGGGACCCTAGTAGAGACACATTGGCCCTCACAATTTCATAGGTGATCCTATTTCCTTCCTTTTATAGGATAAATACATTACTGAACAATGTCAGATGGGCCCCAGGGGAAGCATTTCGACCTTTCTGATGGGGATTTGCCAAGGAATGGAGCTGGGAAGTCACACATAAGAGAGAGCCCTGCCTGCCTATCATGTCTGATTAGGGATGGGCCAAGGAGGAAAGGAACTTTGCCGATCATCGGGATGAGAAGTGGGAAGCAAGCCCCCTTGGTAAGCGGGAGGCATGATGTCAGTATCTGACCCTGATGGAGGGCCTGCATGGTCTTCTTTCACAGACTTGGCCAAGGACCCGGAGGCCACACAAGGAAAAGTCCTTTGCACTTGGCAGTTTGTGAAGCTTTTTCTCAGCTGCTACCTCGGGTGCTTTGTAATAGCCCAGTAGGGGAAAGAGGGGCTGATGGGGCAGTGGGGTGATTCTCCCCTAACAGGTGGGGTTGTTTCAGACTCACCAGCCTGCCTAATCACATGAGCCAATTCCTTACGTCAATCTCTTTCTGCGGATAGGCACACCTTGTTGGCTCTGCCTCCCTGGAGAACCTTGGCTAATACGACACCCATGCCCCTTTGTTTGCATCTATGTCTGTGGTTGTTTTCATGCTGCAAAAGCTGAGTTAATTGCTGAAACAGAGACTGTAGGGCCAAGAAAGCCCAAAATATTTACTCTCTGGTCCTTTACAGACAAGGTTTGCTGACCGTACTTTGACTGGTTTTATAAACATTTTATGATTCTAATAGTTTTTAAGCTAATTTTCTTGAGTCCTCAGGCACTTGAACATATTCTTAAATAATAAAACATTTTTTATGCCTTGCTAGTGGATGGATCTCTTGCCAGGAGGTCAGGTGGGTTTCCTGATGGAAGAGGCAGGAAGCAACTGGCCCCATTCTTCAGCCCTGAGCCCTTTCTAGTTGCCTGGACTGCTCTCCTGGCAAATACTGAGAGGACCTGGGGAGGCTTGCCTTGGGATTTACCTTTTCCTTGAGAGGGAAAGGCATGGGCTCTGCGGTCATTTGGTGCCACCTCCTCCACAAGCCTCAGTCTTCTCATCTGTGATTGGGGTGTATCATCTTCCTGCACTGAGACAGCACTGCTTAAAGGGCCAGCACAAGGTAGACCCTCTTTTCACCCAGGGCCCAGAGTTCCTTGAAAGGGAATGATCTTTTTGACGTCTTGGCTTCTCGATGATATTTCTATATTGTAGTCAGCTGAGGGCTCAGAGGAGCCGCAAGCGTTTTTATTTAAAAAGCCAGCATGGAATAATAATGGCTTGATTTAACATTGCAATTATCTCTCTGAGCACTTTAGCGCATATGATTACCCCTATTTGATGAAAGAGGAAATGGGAAAAGGTAGAAATGAAGTCACTTGTTTAAGGTCATATCATGAGTCACGAGGGAAATGGAGACAGAACTCCAGCCTCCCACACCTGAACCGTGACTCCCACTAAAGAGATGCCATTGTTTCAATGACCCTGCAATGACAACCATCCTAACAGCCAGCAAGGACTGAGACGCTGTTCTGCACCAGCCCCGTGCACTCCAGGTGCCTCCCGTGGACCCTACGGGGCAGGGGCTAATATTACAGCTTGGGATCCAGATGGGAAGGTGAGGATCAAGTGACAAAGTGCCTCTCCGTGGTCACAGAGCATGGCAGAGTTGGAATTCTCTAAGTCCATCGCATTCCTCATTTAGGGTGTAGCTATGAGAAGGGACAAGCTCTTTGCTGTCCACTTTATCTCAATTATTTCTCTCTTCTCTTGAAGAGAATCCAGTGGGTTGGGAACTATTAGTTCCATTTCCAGATGGGGAAAACAGAGGCTCAGAGTCTAAAAGACTGGGCCAAGACCAAGAAGCAAGGAAACAGCAGAATAAGATTTCAGAGTCAGTCTGCTGACCACGCCACAAACCATCCTGAGGCCTAAATATGTATCGAGTGTCTTTCGGATAACCTCCCAAACTCTCACATTCCTGACGTTGAAACCATTTCAGAAGCTTTTGCCCCACACTCGAAAGTGTAAAGTTCACCCTTGTGGGTCTCCAGGTGGTTGGCAAAGGGAGCCCCTGAACCTGGAAAAGCGGTGCCCCTTGTTAGGTGTTAGCATCGTAACGAAAGACGAATGATCAATGGGAAGGAGGCTCGGGTTCTGAACAGAAAGTAAACCCACACTTTAGCCTGGCAAAGATCAAAGCACAGAATCGGATGAGGGTCCCGTTTGGTGGTCGGCTGCATTTGCTGTGCAGAGACCAGAGGGAAAGACGGCCTTGCAGGCAGTGGTCCTGGTGGGATCATTCACTGCATATTTAAAAGAACGTTTTTCAAGAGCAAGGTTTGGATGGAACCGCCACCCTTTTTGTTATCTGGTGCAATTAAGGGATGGGGAGAAAGGCAAAAAGAGGATAAGCTAGAGAGATATGGAGATGAAGAGACATAGAGAGAGAGATGTAAAAAGAGAGAGTTAGAGATATAGACACAGAGAAAAAGACAGGGGCCCAAAAGAATGGCAGAGGTGAGAACTGCACACACAGAAAAAGAGACCGAGACACCGAGAAAAAGCAGAGAGAGGTGGAGGACCATATGGGAAGAAAAAATAAGATGAGACATAGAGATGGGGAGAGGACAAATGGGAATAGAAGGGAAGGGGGTGAGGAGGAGGGGAAGAAGAGGGAAAAAAGGGAAGGGAAGTGAACACAATAAGAGAGAGAGAAGTGGGGAGGGAGAGTAGATTTTGATTCAGGATGCTGACATACCGTGTGAATCACAAACACCAATTCTCTCCCTCCTGCTGCTCTCTGAGTCTGCCCTTTGTTCCTAGGGACCAGTGGGCAAGAGACCCTGCCACATAATAACTGCTCAGTAAACCGCTGTCAAGTTAAATCAAATCGTCCAGGAATAGGACAGGGACCAAATGGCAGTTCAAGCCAATGCATCAACAAATTGCCTCGGTGCATATGTCTGCGGCTTGTGGCCAGCCGCTCTGGCCAGTGGGATGACCTGGATGGACTCGGAGGAGCCCCCTGAGCCAAGCCATGTGCCTCATGGACCTAGGCCATCGTCCTCCTGCCAGGAGCATCAGTCTGGATCCAGGCTGGGAGGGACTGATGAGGCTGCGCTTCACAGCACTAACAGACCCCACTCCATTTCGAGGGTCTGATCCTGGGGCTTACCTGGGTGTCTCCAGCCGATGTTCACTGCCTACCACAGTGGCCAGCTCTGTCTCAGTGAAACAGGTTTATCACTTTGTCAGACCCAGCAAGATTAGCCAACATTCATGGGCTGAGATGAGTGAATACAGTGAGAGAAATCAGCTGTGTAACCACACTTTGTCAGGCATGCATTGAAATCGAACCAGTAACTATTGATCTCTCTTACAATGATGGAAGAGATCTAATAAATACGACAATTGTGCAGGAATGACCCAAGGAGGTGGGTAGTGGGAGGTGGATTTAGGGAGTATCGATCAAAAAGAGACTTCATGATCCTGATGCAGCAGATGAAATAAAAAGTCTTCTGCTGGGATGGGGAGGGGAAAGGAGCACCAGCCCCTCAAATGAAAATATTAGACATTAGATCATATCTCCTGGACATAGCACACAGCATGATGGAGTGGGATGATCAGCGATATGATAATCGATGGAGAGAAAGGTCCAACCTCACCACTTCGGAACAGTGAAAATCTGAGCAGTCATGCCAGTATTTATTGAGCACCTACTGAATGCCAGGCATTTTGCTATATCCCATTGGAGACTTGCAATAACCTTAGGAGGTGAATATTATTATTATTCTCATCATACAGGTAAAGAAAGTATGACTCAGAGAGGGACTTCTACTGTTCCAAAGTCACACAGTAAGTGAGTGGTAGGATCTGGGATTTCAGCCCAGCACTGTTTCAGGTGTTGTGAGACACACGTGTAGATGACAGATGGAAAATTCCTGCCTCCCAGGAGTTACTTCAAGAAACCTTAACTCCTTCCACGTGTTTTAAGATCGCAAATCTCTCAAATAGCCCCAGAGCTGATCCCTTTGCCTGCTCCCTTAAAATGTGCTGCCTTCCGCCACATAGCCTTGGGAACCAGTGTGACATCCCCCTCCCAGCTGCCAACAGAGGCATAGGGTTTGCCTGCCACCTATCACACCTCTAGCTCAGCTGGGGCAAAGCAGTGGGCTTGAGATCCCGTCAGTGAACGCAAACCACCCCCAGGCAGCATAACTCACCGGCTTGGGCTGCTGCAACAGCTCCCCCCACGCAGATCTCAAAGCCTGAAGATAAATGACCTGCAAAAATAGAACAAAGGCAAGGTGTGGTGGGACTGGGGGGAGAAGAGGAGGGGAAAAGAGAAGGAAGGTGCCACAGAGGGGTGGGAGTGAGGCCTGGGGTGAGAAAGAACAGAAGAGGATCGACATTCTGCAATGCTTTGCAATGGATCTCGACTGGGATGCCTGTCAAATTAGAAAGGCAAGCCTTGTATATTTCAGCAACCCTTGGAAGAAAGATGATAATGAAGACTTTCAGTCTGTGGGAGGGGAATTGAAATCAGATCCAATAATCGAAAGAGCTTGTTTCCCCTGGGAAGACTGGAGACTTAATTAAGTAATGTTTGTAGAGCTTGGAGGGATTCTTGATACCCAGGAAAAAGTAAGCAGTTGCAGAATTTACTCTTCAACCTTGGAGTAGTCAGCAGGCTTTTTTTTTTTTTTTTTTTTTCCTGAAACTCATCAGCTTTTTGCTAGAATCAAACTTTGAGACTTGGTACTTTTCTGAATATGGGTCTCTGGACCAGTGAGCAAATGGCTTTCCCTTTGAGCCTCCTCCTGGCCTTAGACTCCTCTGGCTGTAGTTAATAGGAGAGCAACAAGTCCTTTCCAAGTAAAATGGACAAGAAAATGCCTGCTAAGCCTGGGCCTCCTGGCTTGTTGTCACTCCCTTTTCCCATTCCCTTCCAACAAAACATCCCCAAACTTCAACCTGTATCAAATTCCATCAAAAGAAGCCGCTCAAACCAGCACCCTGTCAGCAATTAAACACAATCCGAAAAGAATGAAAAGGCCGAACCTGGCCGTACATTGATGTACATGTTATGTGATAAATGCCAGAGCCTTGGATCTCATTAATGTCCTCAAGCCATTGTTCTCTAAGTCCAGTGAGACTCATTGACCTTTAAAATCACCCTGATTAGTGAAACCTCTCACTTCTCCCATCCAGGGTGTCCCATTTTCCCCAGACCCTGGGAATGGCATGGGAACTGCTGTGTGGGAGACTGCAAGAAGGAGACCCTGGAGCTAAAGCCAAAGGGTGGTCCTCTTGGGAGAGAGCTTACCACCTGTTTAAGCCAGGACTGTGCAGAAAGGGAGAGTCCAAAGAGCAGTCTCTCACTGGTCTGGCTTTTGTGAACTAGCCTCCTAACTGTAACCACCTTTGCTAGATAATCAGACCCAAACCTAAAATCCCCAGCCCGAGCTCCCACCATCTCTAGGTCCAGAGGACCAGGAATAAGCAAATAAAACCAAGCGATAGAATTCCAGTGCCCCCTCTGGATGTTACCTGCACTCTGCTTTGTCCCTGGGCAGCTTCTGGCCGAGCAGGTCGGAGGTGGCAGTGGCTGGTCCAAGGCTCAGGGGCCTCCTTGACTCCGGCTTGGGAGGAGGTGCCAAAGAGGCAGCTGTGAACACCACCAAAGCCCCTTCAAATGGCAGTTCTGGTGCCTCTTCCCCCCTTTTATGGACGAGAGCCTCCCCTGTCGCTCAGCCCTTGCTGAGCACAGGCTGCTGGGAGCCAATGGGGAAGTGGCTGAGAGCAGTCAGAGCACAGACCCCCAGGCCCTTCAACTCGAACTCCCTGGGCCTGACACAATAGGCTTCTCTTCGTGACAGGGATGTGGAGGAGGAAGGCAGCCGTGTTGGGGAGGGGGCGGATTCTGGGTGTAGTGCTGTTTGTCACTTGAAATCCGGCCACTTCAGTTTTTGATGCGTTTCCAGGAGAGTGTCACAGGAAAAAGAAGACAGGGAAGGACAGAGACAGAAGAGTTAGAGAAAGAGAGAGAGAGAGAGAGACTCAGAGAGAATCGGAAATCGAGAAAGAGGCAATGTCGGACCTAGGGAGTGATACAAAGGAGGGGAGAAAGAGAAAGAAAAACAGAGACAGAGAGTGGCAGAGATAGGGAGATGGGTAGAAACACAAGGAGAGAGGGACAGAGCAAGAAAAAAGGAAACCAGCCAGGTAGACTGTCAGACTCAAAACACACTGATCCACAGACAGACAGACGTGGAGACAGACAGAGGCTGAGACAGTCTTCTGATCACGGAAGAGAGTCGGAAGATGACAGCCGAGTCAGCAGGCACGTGCATGGCCCGCTGTTGCGTGCCGTGGCAACTCTGTGTTGGCTGGTGCACGCGTGTGCTGGAATCTTTTTGTGTGTACATTTGCCTGCAAACGGCATTCGGCTCTGGTACATGCCTGAGCTGGTGCCAGGCACACTAGCCCTGGCAGAAGCACAGCTCTTCCCCGACAGCCAGGAGCTGCAGTTTAGTTTTCTCTGGCGGCAACACAAAATGAATAGCAGGAAAAACCCCTCAAAATATGGGCTGCAATATGCCTCAGCACACACTCTGGGTGAGGGATGGACCCACCTCAATATACCCTTGGCCTGGACCAGCAGCAGCTTGAAGGTGGCACTCTTCATTGCTACAGAGATCTTCCAGAACATAAGGGTCTTTGAGTTTGGAAGAGAACATGCTTCTCTTCTCAGTCAATAGCAGACAGTTTGTGGTGGGAGGCACAACTATTTCAGAAGTCTGGCAGGGCCGCCCATTTTGTGGGCACCTGGCTGCACCAGGCGGTTAGGTAGAGTTGTCAGATTTAATCCTCATGACCTAGCCAGTTGGTTAATATTATCCCCATCTTGCAGATGAGAAAACAGAGGTTTGAGAGCTGAGAAACTTTCCTAGAGACACACAGCAAGTAAGTCATCCAGCTAGAACCTAAAGTCAGGTCCATCTATCCTCCAAGTTCCTAGAGACACACAGCAAGTAAGTCATCCAGCTAGAACCTAAAGTCAGGTCCATCTACCCTCCAAGTTCCTAGAGACACACAGCAAGTAAGTCATCCAGCTAGAACCTAAAGTCAGGTCCATCTACCCTCCAAGTTTCTGCCCCCTCCCTTGCCTCTCCCCAGGCTTGAATCTGCCCACACTGAGGGGTGGGGTCAGTTTTCTTCTCTGGGACTCAGCCTCTCCATACACAGGCTGTGCTTAATGACATTTAAGATGTGAGTTTGACTCTCAGGTCTGCCACTCACCATCGGAGAGACCTTGGATAAGCTGCCAACTTCAACCTCTGATTGCTCATCTGTACAGTGGGGACAACAGTATCATGGGGCTCTTGGGCTCTTGTGAGGGTGAAAGGAGGATGTGTCAATAGCACTTAAAGCAGCCAGTACGGAGCGGATGTTCTGCTCCCATCATTCCTGATAAACCACATCCCTCCAGCTTTGATGCAGCAGGTTCTCCTGGGCATCCTCCTCTCCCTGCACCTGGCTCGTTAAACTCTCACATAAGGAGGAGGGTAGAAGGGGCTGTTTGCTGAACACCTATTATGCCTCAGACATTTCCACATTCCATCACATCCTCACAACAAGAAAACCTGTGGTGTGGATCTCACAATGCGTCCTCAGATGGAGAAGGCAGCAGAAGTTCAGAGAGGCCCCAGCCACCCAGGGAGGGAGGAAGAACCGAGACCCATCCCTCAGATCCTGAAGCTGCAGCCCCACCACACTCCCCTCTGGACCCACAGCCTCACTTTCCTTCTCCTCCCTGTCTCCTCTTCCCGAGGCAGCACAAGGGGTCTGACTGGCGGGTGCAAGCGACTCCTGGTGCCCTATGTGGAAGCCCCTGCCCAGTTGGTGATAGCCAGTGCGCAGGGTCACCAAGCACTTGGCCACATCTCAGGCTGGCTTCTTGCATGGTGGCCAGAGGACATGAGTGGAGTCTATTCATTGCCACCCTGGGAATCTGGGAGCCCAGGAGTGAGCGTCTACTTCATCCCCAAGGCCAAAGCCTCACTCCAACTGCTCTCTTTCCTCATTTTTCATTTCCTCCTTCTCCTCCTAACCTCTGCCTCTATAAGCTCTTGGTAATAACCTTCGAATACACAGAGACTCTTAGAGAGGGAGTACAATGGCTCCCGTGGCTGGAAGTCAGCAAGCACTGGAAGAGCAGAGGACAGGGGCCTCTCCTGACTGTTATTCACCAGAGGGAAGTTGGGGCAGTGAGAGTAGAGACACTCATGGATAATCCTCATTAAGCCATTGATGTCTGATATCCTTCACCCCCTGAGTCTACTGTTGCCTCAAGAGCAAATAGTTCCTGCATTTGCCTTTCCTCTCCTTCCGCAGCCTCCTTTACACACACACACACACACACACACACACACACACACATAGAAGGCCAGGAGCAGCCTTCCCCCTTAGTCCTGGAGAACCTTGCCATAAAGCTCACCCTCTCCTGGGCTCAGTGATGCACCAATCATGGTGCTGGCCCTGTGGGCAGCAGTCCCGGGGGTGGGTACCATGGCTCAGCCAGGCTCACTTCAGCTTAGATCCCGACGCCACTGCTTCCTCACTGTGTGACAACTGATGGATACTTCGCCTCTCTGAGCACCTGAGTCATTCTGAAGACAGGAGGATGCTGCTAGCTTTTATACAGATGTCAGGGCTCATTCCAAAGCTCTAGAATGCTCCCTTCCCTGCACACCCTCCGTGCATGACCAGTTTCTACTGCAGATCTCGAGGTGGGCAAAAGGCAAAGAGTAAAGAAAAGGAAAGATTTAAAACAACCAGTCCTCAAATCACTCCATTAGGTAGGATTCAGGAAGCACAGGCTGGAAGACAGAAAAGTTAAGAAACAAAGCCAGCATTTCTGAAGGGCTGTCTACTACCAGGCCCCATTGTAAACCCTTGACACAAATCAACACCTGATTCTCCCCACCATTCTGCCATTAGATGCAATTCCTGCCCCCACCTTACAGAGAAGGAAACAGAGGCTGGGAGAAGTTAAGTCACTCGCACAAAGGCACACAGGTAGAAAGTGGCAGAGCACAGCCTGATCCCAGGCAATCCGACTCCAGGCATGTGCCCCAGCCATGAGCTGCGCTGCGCCTGGGCTTCTCCTCCCTGTTCTGCTTCATGCTCCGAGCTCTGTGTGCGTTCTCTACTCACCTGTCAGCCTGGAAAAGTGGCAGCAGGCAACATGGATCACTCAGGAGGACCTCAGTGGGATGAAGTTCCGGTCCTGTGGTCAGCATCAAGTCTCCCAAATCACTTTTCATGCTGCCGTGTGTCCAGCGTGGATGTCCACACCGGGGCTGGGTGGGCAAGCGCGTGAGAGACTCCCACTGCCCCAGCCGTCGTGTTTGTGCCTCGCTGCTGCAAGAGGGAGTGAGGAGCTGTGCTCATCATCTCTCTCTCTCTCTTTCTCTTCTTCTTCCTCTTCCTCTTCCTTTTCTTCCACATATCTGTATTGAAACATCCCAATGTGCCATTCTCAGTGCTGAGCCCTTAGGGCTTAACATGCCACACACAACTTTGCCCTCTTTGTCCTCACAATCCAGGTTGAGGGGCAGGTATAGGAACAGCCACTCACAGCAGTACGGCAAGTAGGGGCTAGGAGACCTGGAATACTGTGGGAACAGAAAAGGGGCTCCCAACCAGCCTGCTGAAGAGTTGGGAGAAGGCTTCCTGGAGAAAGTGAGCGTGAAGCTGAAGACTGAGGCACAGGTGGGAGTTTTCCAGGCAGAGGGCAAGAAAGGGCATGTCAGGCAGAGGGAACAGCTTAGGCAAAGGCCTACAAGCAAGAAGAGTTGAGTGGGATGGTGGGGGAGTTGCTCTTGACTCCCCTCTTTCTCTTGCCCTGACACCTCCTCTTCACTGCTTCTGACTCTATCGCCTGGGCCCCCGGTCGCTGTCACTTCTCTCCTAGATGGCTGGCCTCTTCCTCTGCCCTTACCCAGCCTACTATTTGTTCCTCAGCAGCCAGAGAGATTCTTTTAAATGCAACTCAGGCCAGGTGCTATGGTTTATACCTGTAATCACAGCACTTTGGGAGGCCAAGGCAGGTGGATCACCTGAGGTCGGGAGTTCAAGACCAGCCTGGCCAGCATGGTGAAATCCTGTCTCCACTAAAAATACAAAAATTAGCCAGGCATGGTGGTGGGCACCTGTAATCCCAGCTGCTTGGGAGGCTGAGGCAGGAGAATCGCTTGAACCTGGGAGGCAGAGGTTGCAGTGAGCGGAGATCACGCCATTGCACTCCAGCCTGGGTGACAAGAGTGAAACCTTGTCTCAAAAAAAAAAGAAAAAAAAAAGAAAAGCAACTCAGATTGTACTTCACCCCTGCTTAAAACACTCCAGTGGTTTTCATCTGACTTGGAAGAAGGTCCACATATTCCTCACTTGGAAGGTCTACTCTCTGCTGACCTCCTGTCCTCCCCGCTTCCTGCAGCTGCCCTGGCCTCCCTGCTGCTCCTCAAACACACCAAGCACATTCCTGCCTCGGGGACTTTGTGCTTGCTGTGCCTTCTCTGAGGAACACACTTTTCCCCACATTCCTTCCATCACTGCATCTGGCTTTGGGCTTAAACGTCACTTCCTAAAACAGGTCTCTTCTGCACACCCTGTGTTCTGTCCCTCTCCATCCCTCACCCACCTCTGTCAGTCTCCACAGCATTTATCCCTCCCTGATGCAATATATTTATTGGTTTATCTGATTATTGCCTGTTTCCGCTGGTGGAATGTAAACTCTAGGGAGGTAGGAATTTTGTCTCGCCTGGCACATTGTAAGTGCTCAGTACACATTCGTTGAGTTAGTGACTAAGAGAACAACAAATGGTTCAGTGTGGCTGGAGCACAGAGTGAAAGATGGGAAATGGAGAAGAAGCCACACAGGACCCCAAGGGCCAGGTCAACATAGCACTTTATCTGAAGCACGTTTGGAGGCTGGAAAGGGTTGGCAATGGCTCTCCATGTGGACAGAGAACTCAGAGATCTGGAGGGAACTTATTCAATCATTTAATCTGGCTCATGAGCATTTCTTGGTGCTCTGGTGCTGGTGATTCAGATTCAAATCCAACAAGATTCCTATGCTCAACAAACTCACAGTCCAATAAGGGATATCTGTTGGCATAAAACACCATGGAGTGGGTGCAAAAGCAAAGCAATGCAAGATACAGAGGCAGCAGTGATGTACTCTGTCTGGGGACCCCTGAGTAGGCAAACTCTGAGGTGGGTTTTGAAGGATGAATAGGAGTTTGCCAAACAAAGTTTGGTCTCCTAATGCACCTCAAAGAGCCAATGTCAAGGAAATGGAGACATTGAAAACTTCATGTGTTATGGCTGGAATGTAAAAGGGTACAGTGTTATGGAAAAAAAATTTTGATGGGTTCCTCAAAATGTTAAACATAGAATTACGATATGACCCAGCAATTTCACTCCTACATATACACCCAGAATAATTGAAAATAAGGACTCAGACACTTGTACACCAATGTTTATAGCATCATTATCATCATCATCATCACCATTAATTTAGAGACAGTGTTTCACTCTATCACCCAGGCTGGAGTGTAGTAATGTGATCACAGTTCCCTGTAAGCCAGCTTATTTATTTATTTATTTATTTATTTATTTTAGGG
The DNA here is from genome assembly GCF_000001405.40 of Homo sapiens. NCBI lineage: Eukaryota > Metazoa > Chordata > Mammalia > Primates > Hominidae > Homo > Homo sapiens. The sequence continues at coordinate 2,000,051 of NC_000020.11, forward strand.
ACAGGGTCTCATTATGTTGCCCAGGCTGGTCCCAAACTCCTGGCCCCAAGTGATCCTCCCATTTCAGCCTCCCAAAGTGCTAGGACTGCAAGTGTGATCACCATGCCCAGCCTATACCAGCATTATTCACAATCAGCAAAAGTTAAAAACAACCTGAGTGTTCATCAACAAAAAAATAGATAAACAACATGTGGCAGATGCACATGCAACAAATAATTATTTAGTTATATAAAGGAATGAAGTTTGGATCATGCTACAGAATGGGCAAACCTTGAAAACATTACGCTAAGCGAAATAAACCAGACACAAAAGGACAAATACTGTACGATTCCACTTCTATGAGGTACCTAGAACAGGAAAATTCATAGAGAGAAAAAGCAGAGTAAAGTTTACCAAGAGCTAGGCGGAGGGGGAAGTGGGGAGTTATTGCTTAAATTGCACGGAGTTTCTGCTTGGGGTGATGAAAACATTCTGGTGTAGATAGTGGTAATGGATGCAACAGCATTATGAAGCCACAGAACTACCCATTCCCAAAGGGCAAAACTTCACCTTCTCTCCTATTTTGCCTCAGCTGGCAGCACAACTTCCACACTCTGAGCTGATAGTTGTTGTCCGTCTACTTGATGCCCATCACTCTGCTAGTTCGTCTCTATGTATTATTATCCCATTTAATCCTCACAGCAAATCAACAAGGTAGGTGCTATTTTTGCCTTCATCTGCCAGAGGAAGAAACTGAACTCAGAGAGGTGGCCACTTGCCTGAGGTCATACAGCTCATAAATGGAATAGACCCCAAGTTCCTCTGACTGTAAAGACCATGCTTTGCACTACTACCTCACAGAGGCAAGCTGAAACCCAAAAGCAGCAAATGCATACATGCTATTATCCACTGAGAGTCACCCTGTGCCAGGCAGAATGCTAAGAACAGGGATACATGATCTTTAGTAACTTCTCAGCAGCCCAGTTAGGCAGGCACTGTAAGTTCTACTTTGCAGATGAAGAAACAGACACTGAGAGGTGAAATGACTTCCTAAGTAGCGCAGCAGGACACGGACAGAGTCAGGACTCACATCAAGATCTGTATAGCTCCAAAGTCTGTGCCCCTTTCTGCTTTGTCACATCCACCCATGATGCTCCTCTGTCCTTCCTAGACTTCTGGGACCAAGACCTGAACAAGAATTTGACCAGCACATGGTAAGGAGGGACACCTGTTTACTGAGTACCTACTATGTTCTGGGTCCGGACTACAGGCTTCACATTTATGACCACGTGTCTGGAACATGTGCCTGACCTCTGCTGCCAGTCGAACAAGAGGTCAGTGGCAGGATTGGATGCCTGGTCTAGACTTCACTGGGTAATAATGTGAACTGTTTTTAGCCCCCTGCACAAAAGAGAAAAACCTTACATCTCACATCACTAAAATCTAATCACAGCCTCCACTCATCAAGTCTCTGCTAGGTGCCAGGCACATCTCCTAAACTGTCTCATTTAACCCTCACAACAACTCTAGGAGGTAAATATCATTAGCTCCACTTTGCGGATGAGGAAACCGAGCTGAGGGCTCAATCACCTGTCTGAGGTTACACAGAATGTGATACAGCTAGGTTATAAACCTCGGTCTGTCTGCCTCAAAAGCCAGGGCTCTTTTCACTCATCAAGCTACCTCTCAAAAGCCACCATCTCCTAATTCCTCAGCAGCAGCCTGGGCATCAGCAAGAGGACAGACCTGCCCGGAGATTCTGGGTATTTGATCTGAAATGAGACCCTTCATTTAAGACCTGCTCCTCATCATCCCATGAGCCCCATAATATACATCATTCCTAATAATAGCTCTTTATGCCAGGTGAGTTTCTTTTTGCCAAAGGAGGAGATTAAACTGATTTTTTCTCAGTCATAAATCTTACAGTTTCTCCTAAATCCTATTGAGCTGACAAATTGTGGCCTTTTCTGTATTCATTCCACAAGACACCTGGAGTATGTATTATAGGCCAGGTTCTCTACTAAACACTGAGCTGCATGGCTAAGATGACCCAGTTCCTGCCCTCTGGGGATCACAAGCTGGCAGGGATGATAGGAAGTAAACAGTACTTTCAGTGATTTCAGCACCACCTGGACGGGGCTGAGATAGAGGTGTGGATATACAGAAGTACCCAAGCCAGTCTGTTCAATATGGGAAGTCATCCTGGAGCTAGAGACCAAGGCTGGGTTTTGAAGGATGAGTAGGAGAGCTCCATGGTGACCAGAAAGAGTTCTGTGCAGCTGAAAGAAATCATCCAGGCTTTTTAAAGCAAAAGTTGATTTAACACAGGGGATAAGGAACTCTAAAAGGTGCTAGCGGAGGGAAGGCGCTGGAGGAGTCAACAGGGCCTCTGTAAATGACTCCCAGAATACTACCTGACCAACCAGCCATGCAATCAGAAAGCCAGGCAAATGGGAGACCACCCCTGCAAATAGTGAGTTCAAGAACTTACTGTCACACTTGGGTCCAGGGATCTGGAAGCTGGGACTGGGGAGCCACCATGACGTCATCACAACTGCCTCTCAACACCCATGGAGGTGGCCACCAGACTCTGAGATGCTGCTGCAAAAACCCCCATGCCATCATGATGGCTCCTGCTGGAGGAAAGAGCCACAGCAGCAGAGAGACGGCCTCTGTTTCAATTCCAGAGTCAAAATCTCACACAGCCTAGATAATTGACAGAACATAATTGACATCGAGAACTTTAGCCGCAAGGGAGGCTGGGGAAAATAGTTTTCAACTCCTATCTCTGCAATATGGGAAAGTGTACCAAGGAGAAGAGGGGGAGTGGATGGGAATGGGGGCTGAGGCCCAAGCACGCGTATCCCCCACAACTGGGAAGGAAAGGAGTGAGTGCCCTAGGCCAGGTGGACACATATCTTGAATTTTCTCTTCTGCCTCCACCCAGAGGCCCTTTTTCAGGTCAACACTCCACAGGTGATATAAGGACCACCCACAAAGACCCCTTCCCTGTGGCCCTGTCAGAGTGGGGGACCAGTGAATCCAGATTCTCACTTCTGTGATGAGGAAATGGAGGTGCAGAGGGAAGACTATTGTCTTAAGGCCACACAACTCCATGGACAAGTGGGGCCTAGAACCTTGTTCTCCCCTTTGTGTTGTGCCTGCTCTGCCATCCTCTTCTTCACATTCTGGGTCTGGGGCCTGGCTGGAGATGGGGGTGATGGCTGGTGTAGGTGAAGAATTGCAGTCTGGAGAGGGGAAAAAAACTCAGCCTCTGGTATCAATTATGCCTGAGTTCTCCTCTGGGCTCCACTCCTGCTAACTGTGTGACTCTGGGCAAGTTACTCAACCTCTCTGAGCTCCAGTTGCCTCCTCGGTGAAACGGACATGGAGAAAAGCACAGAGTTGTCATGAGAATGGCAGATACTAAATATAATGAAGATTACAGTAGGTATTCTTGAAATGGGAGCTGATGGGACTGGTTCCACAATACTATTGTTAATTATAAACTGCCATTACTATTAATAGTAGCCGATCCTCCCCAAATTGAAGATGAAAACTTTTTAAAGGTTTTCTATGTGGTTTAACCTCACTGCTTTTTCTTCTCCTACCTCAGTAGCAGCATAAAAAGACCTGCACTTTAACTGCTTCCATTATTCTAGCCTGCCTGCATTTGCCAATTTCTAACTAAACATCTAGGATTCCTCCCCTCATCTCACCCAGAGACCCACAAGTACCCACAGAACAATATACACAGATTCACACCAAACAAACACTCATACATACACCTGGTTTTGAACGGACACACATATGCATGGTCAAATACACAGACCCTCACTAGTACTCAGATTCACACACAAACTTATAGAAGCACTACCTCACCCAAATACATATAGACACACACACAGAGAAACAACAGCAGCACTCATGCAAACACATCCTTCAACACGCACACTCCACACCCTCCCAGTTTTGTGACACACTCAGGAATATTAAAAGTTGCAGAGAATAGAAGTAGCTCGGAGCCTTGCTCCTGAGTTCTCTTTAAACAACTGGTCAGTGACAACTCAGGACTCCTTGGAGCCCTTGCTGAAGGGCCTTTATCAGCCTAAAGCTGAGCCTTCAGCCTGGGTCCCATCTCAGATAAGATCATTAATTTTCCATTGCAGCTTCTCTCTCTCTCTCTCTCTCTCTGAGTCATCTTTACAAGCCCCTGAAACAATGGTATTTAAGGAGGGAGCTTTCTCAACACCTGAAATCCCTACAGAAAGGTTGAGCTTCCTTGGTAAAGCATTTACCTGCTGGGGGAGGGTGCATGGAGTGACATGGTTTTCACATTTGAGAAAGGTAAGTGGGAGGGAATATCAGACAACTGCAGAGTGCAGATTATCATTTAAATAAAATCCCCATGGGGCTCGCTGGCAGCATTAAAATTGCTCCTGCCTCTGTGGTGCTGTCACAGAACAGCCTCTCTCCTTTATTCTGCTTTACCATAGAAAGAGGCAGTGTGGTGCAGTGGAAATACCCCAGGGCTGAATCCTAGGATTCAAGTCTGATCCATCATCTCTGGGCTGTGTATAACTAACTAGGCAATTCACTTACCTCTCTGAGTAATGATGTTTTTATCAATAGAATACAGTGATTAGGAGCAATGAAGGGCTCCAGAGCCAGACTGCCTGGCTGGGCCCTGGACTAGCTGTGTGATCTTTGGCAAGTTGCTTAATCTCTCTGGGCTTCAATTTTCTTATCAGTGAAGTGGAGTAATAACTTCACTTTCCTCATAGGGTTGTTGCAAGTATGATATTAATACATGTAAATGCTTATCACAGTGCCTACTATATACTCAATGATCAATACATGATAGCAGGTGCAGCAGTAACTGTCATTTTGTGTTTCTCATATTCCAGACACCCTGCTTTGTCCTCCTCAAGACCTACAGGATCTCGTCTTCATGTCCCCTATTGTCTAATCTACTCCACTCATACTGGCTCCCTTTCTGGTCCTTGGATATGCCATCTTGTTCCCACCTCAGGGTGTTTGCTCTTGTTGTTGCTTCTAGTCGGAATGCTGCCCTCCCCTAATATTTTCATGTTTTATTATCTCAATTCATTCACATCTGTGCTCAAATGAAACCTCCTCAAAGAGGCCTCCAATGATCACCTTATCTAAAAGAGAACCTTATCTATCATCATCTATCCTCTTGCTTGGAATTATGCTACACATTTGTGTACTTGTTTATTCTTTTTCTCATCCACTAGAATGTAAGTTTCAGGAAGCCAGAAATCTTGTCTTTCTTGTACTTGACTGTATATCTATAACTCCTATAACAGTTCCAGGCCATGGAAGCACTCAACAAATATTTATAGAATGCATGAATAAGTAAAAATATTATCACATTAAATATGGGTCAAAATGAAACACTCACTCAGCTTCAGCCTGTTAATCCCAGACAGATCTCTTTTGGGCTACTATATACCACATATATGACTCTGCCATATACATCTGAGTATCTGAGTCAGAACTTCCACAGCCAGTTCTGACTCAGAGCTGCCTACATTCTTGGGTGACAGACATGGATGAAAGCAGCTGGAGAAGGCATCGATGACTGCTGCCTTTTCCTTGCCCAGGAAGAGTCTAGAGAAAGAATCCACCACTTTTGCAGAACACTTTAAAATAGGGCTTTATGGGGCTGTGGACTCCCAGTACCCCTTCTCCCCCACCCACCCCCATTGTAGACATGATCATCCTGCATCACCTATCTGCCCAGTGTTTCCAGCTAGCAAGAAATGCCAAGTGGGGACATCTGGAAAAAGGAATATTAGCTTTGGATTCCAAGAGATGGCAAAATGAAGATGTCACTAATAGTCAGTGAAAAGCTGGCTCATTCTTCCTCTCTTTATTCACTTCCCCTGGGCTCCATTTTCTGCCTCAGCACCTGCGCCGCCTCATGCTCGGTAGCAGGAATTTGCTTTTCAGCACCACGGACAGCGATTGGCTGGCAGCCGGGGAGGCGAGGAAGCCAGAACGTGGGACATTCATGCAACCAAACAAATATTTACTGAGCACATCCTGGGGGCAGGCATACTGAAGAATACAGAGATTTATGTGGTCTTGACCTTTAAATCACTTAATCTCTTCGAGTCATCAATATTCCTAAACTGATACAGCTGGGGCAAGGCCCCGAGCCTCCTGATACTTGGAAAGTGTGGAGAATCAAAGGGAAAATGTTTCCCTTCTCAACAGTTGTTAAATTTATGCTGTGTATTTGCATATGTTATCTAATACTCTCATTAGACTGTCACCCTAAAAACAAACAAAAAAGCAGAAAACAGGTACTGCAATGTTGTATTCACCATTATACCGCAAGTACCCAGCACGGTGCCTGGCCCATAGTAGACACTCAATAGGTTTTTAATAAATGTGTGGATGAATGAATCCTCACAAAATCCTATTTTACCCATTTTTATTTTACCCCTATTTCATAGATGAGAAAACTGGGTCTCTGAGAACTCCCTTCTCGTGACAGCTATTAAGCGGCAGAGCTTAGGTTTGAATCCAGGACCTCCTAATTTCATGCTGTGCTGTCAAGCAGAGCCACTTAACTATGCGCTGGGCACTCTCGGAGCCTAGAAAAGGTGCCAGCTTGGGAGAGGCTGATTCTAACAATAGCACTGACTCACTATTCAACCTTGAGGGAATCATGTTTTTCTTTCTGGCCTCAACTTTGCCATATGTAAAATGGAAAAGGAGATTGTGTGGCTAATGGGTCCCCTCCCCACCCCACAAATGGCTTATAAGGGGCTCCCCGGAAGGCTTGGATCATGCGTTTGTTGCAGCTGGACCACGCGACCAGCAGGGGGCGCTATAAAATGAATTAAAACATCCTTCCCTTGCCTCCGCAGGGCGTCAAATGAGAAGCGTATTGATATCCCAGCAGACCTCAATATCCTTTTTCATCTTCCCGCTATAACCAGAATATGTGCGCAAGCAGTGCAGGAGCTCTTCTTTTTAGAGTGCAAAAAATGAACTTCAACCCCTCTCGAGAAGTGAGTAAAGAGGCAGCCCTAGGACACAGAGACAGTGCAGTGAGGCTGCCGTGACTTATCGCCCAGGAACCCACTGATTGAGTAACTTTGGACAAAGCCTCGAGCAAAGATAACTGTTTAAGTGGCTGCGGCAGCGGAAAAATCAGTTTGGCTGATTGATGTCCTGGGTTTCTTGTTAGTGGGTGGCTTCCAGCCATGGCTCTGCCTCAGCTCCCAGAATTACTCCAATAAGTGATTTGCTCATCCCTAACTCTTCTGAGGGGGTGGGGAGAGGGAGCTGAATCAGCCTTCTCACAACCCTGACTGGGATTTAATAGGGGACTAGTGGGCATTGGTGCACTGGGGGCAATGTGGGGAGAGGAGCAGATTTGTCAGGCTTGGCAAAAATATCTGGCTCCTGCCTGTGGGTGTGGAGGGGAAAATAAAGTCAGAAAAGAAGCGATTGCAGAGTGAATGTCTTTCAATTATTTGAAAAGAATGCAAATCAAATGTGTCACGAAGGCTGTTTCTGTAATCAAATCCTAGTCATTGAAATCTAGATTGACCAAAGTGGGTCTCCAGATTGAAGAGCAGTAACGGGGGAGCTTGGGAGATTTTTGTCAGGGAGCCCTACTCAGTGTAGGAGTCACCCGGGATCATCAGAAGGGAGCAGGCTCTGCAATTAACCAGACCTTGATTCAATCGTGGCTCTACTATTGACTGTCTGCAAGGCCTGGATCTAGTTGCTTAATCTTTCTGAAACTCAGCTTCTTCATTTGTAAGATGGGAGAATACTAATAATATATCTACTCTTTCAGCTCTCTATTCTTGCATATTAAACCACATTAACACTTCGTGGGATAACAAAGCAATCATTCGATTATGCTCACAGAGTCTTAGATCAGAAATTTAGACAGGATATAACAGGTATGGCTGTGTCTGCTGCATGATGTCTGGGGTCTCAGACTGGAAAACTCAAATAGGTGGGGGTTGGAATAACCTGAGACTTTTTCACATGGTCCCAGGCAGTGTTGCCTCAAAGGCTGGGTTCAGCTACAATGCCTTACCTTGGCCTCTCCAGCAGGATTCTAAAAGCTAGTGTTCCAGTGAACAGGCAGAAGTTGCATGACCTTTTATGACCTAGCTTTGCAAGTCACATAGTGTCACTTCCTTCGCACTCTGTTGGTCAAAACCATCACAAGGCCACTCAGATTGAGAGGAGGGGACATAGACCCCATCTCTAAGTGGAAGGAGTGTCAATTTACAGCCAAGTTTGAAAACTACCACACCTACCATGCATGGGTATTATTATAATTAAATGCCAGCAGCTACTCCTGTTCCCTCAGAGGATCAAACAGTTCTTGGTGAGAGCTTTTCATCATTCTTAGATAAAATCTATAAATTCTTACCATGGCCTATAAGGCCTGGCATGGTCTGGGCCCGATTTCTTCTCTAGCTTCTTTCTGCCCATCTCATCTCTCAAATGCTTTGCCATTTGCCTTCCTTCAGCAACTAAAAGGCATCATGCTCCTTCCCAACTGCCAAGTCCCTTTGCTCTGCTGCTACCTCTGCCTGGAACACTCCTTGCGCATTTCATAGCCTGGCAAAAATTATGTATACCTAGGCCACTGCTTCAGGGAAATCCTTTCCAATTCTCCAGACCTATGTCAGGACCCCCCTTACATGCTGTTAGAGAACCCAATACTTTTACATCATAGCACTAACCACAATCACTATGTAATTATTTAACTAACAGCCCTCCTTTGCTCCATGCTCAACCTGACCACCATCATGTCGACTAACAGACAGGGACCCCTGTCTGTCTTGTGTTTTCAGCACTTAGCACAGAGTAGGTGCTCATTAAATATTTGCTGAATAAAGAGTGAACGGATGATTAGGCCACCAAGGCTTTATGTTTGGGCTGGAATCACATTTGCTAATAGTAATTAGCTCACATTGATCAGATACCTGGTTGGCTTTGATGTCATCATAGGGCTTACTGGTATTCCAGGGAGAAGTTTTTGGTATTGAAATGAGGCCTCCTGGGGTATCCTTTTGAGGGCTGTTCTTCTGGAGAGGCCACAATAGCTCCCATCTCAGCTGTTACACTCAGTACTCCCTGCGACAGCAGAGAATGTAGAAGATGTCTATCTGAACCCTGTAAGGTGCAGTAAGAATTTTGGTGTACTAATTCATCTGAGCCCAGCTTCTTTTCATCCAAGTGGTGCCAACAACACCAAAAGCATTAAATAAATAATTAAACCATAGAATTGTACACGCTCAACACACTCTGTGTGCTAGGCACTGTGCCAGGCAGTAAAAATACTGTGAGAATGAGGGCAGACATATTCCCTGTTCTCCTGGGCCTTAGAGTCAAATGGGGAGAAAGATTCAAAGCACATAACTGGAGAACAGTAAAAGTTACATAATACAGGCATCCCAAGGACCTGTGAGAAGAGAGGGATGGCAACAATCCTACCTATGATAGGCTGGGGGGTAGTTAAGGAGGGCTTTATTGAGAAGGTGATATCCAAACAAAGATCTTAAGAATGTATAGGCAGTATTAGAGAAGGTGACAAAAAGGAGCTCCAAGAATGGGAATAGCGAAAAGCATTGAAGGAGAAAAATAGCATGGCTTTGTCAATGAAGTGCAGAAAGTGAGTGAGAAAGAGAGGCACAAGATGAGGCTACAGAGCAGGCAGAAGCCCTAGAATTAAGGACAAACTCTTGGCCTTGTTAGGGAGCCTGTATTTTATCCTGAGAGCTATGGGAAGGCACTGAAGCATTTTGAGCATGGAGGTGATAGGCTTCAATGTGGAGAACAGGTTATACGGGAAGACACTAGAAGCTGGAAACCAGCTGGAAGGCTGATCATTGTCCACACAGGAGGTAATGGTGGCCTGTACTTGAGAGGCATGGTGGAATAGGAAGAAATTGACATGTTCCAGGGATGCTTGGGAAGAATAATAATGATTCATTTTAAATTGAGGAATAGAGGAGAGAGAAGAGTCAAGGAGACCTCCAGAGTTCTGTCTTGAGCACCTGGATGGAAGAGGAGTCAGAGTCTCAAGAATAAAAACAGGTTTTGGCAGGGGAAGGTGATGCACTCACCTTTTCATGTATTGGGCTGGAGGTGCCTATGAACACCCATGTGGAAATGTTATGCTGGACCTGGAATATCCTGGTCCTGGAATTCCCTAAGGATCTGGCTTTATTTAGGGAGCAGCCAGAGTTATGAGGAGAGGGTTTCATTTTGGCCAAGAGCCTTCTTAAAACTCAAAACCTGACCAAATCTTCTGAGTTCTCAAATCCAATCAGCTTCCACCAGGATCAGCTCAAGATGCAGACAATCTCCTGGCATGTGTCTGCCCTGTGGTATAAGAGAACAAAGTATAAAGAATCAGACACTAAGGGCTCTCATTAGAACTGGGAACTGAGTTCTCTCCCAGTAGATGCATTTAGGCACGAGCTTTAGAGAGCTGTTGTACAGGAGACTCAAGTACGGGATAAGGAATCAGAGCAGGCGACCTTTAAATATCCTTAGAGCCTTGACCTCTACTTATTGTAATTCTGTATCTGCCACTTAAAAAAAAAAAACTAAAAAACTAAGTAGCTCATTACCTCACTTGCCTCATCTGCAGAAGAGGGTGTAGAGTATGATTTCAAAGGACTCTTCTAGTGTGGTAACTACAACTGTTTTGTCAACAGCCTCATGTTGATAGATCCCAAGGGCCCTTCTCAGTTCTTATCTTGACTGATCCCCTACAAGTATTCTACGCTGTTAATTACTCTCTTGACTCACTCTCTTTCTGGGGCTTTCATGACAAAGAACTCGCCTGTGTCTCTAAGCACTCCTCTCATTCTCTTCCACAGGCTCCTCTTCCTACCTATCTTTTAAAACAGGCTTCTCTTTTCTTCTCTCTCGACACATTCTTATTCCACAATCTCATTCACCACCATGGCTGCCATGCTCACGAGAGGCGTACATATTACTCAGAACTCTTTTACGAGACCTGATCTCACCTAGTTTAGGAAATAAAAAAAGTATTGGCACAAGTGATTGAGAAGTCTGGAGACCAAGCACAGATTGACCATGGGCTCAAACAATATCCCCTAGACTGGCTAGGGATTCTCAGCATCCTCAGCTCTGGATGCTCACCTGCTGATGTATGTCTCCCTCTCTCTCTCTCTCTCTCTCTCTCTCTCTCTCTCTCTCTCTCTCTGCCACTTACCTTCAGGAGGCAGCTGAAGAAGGGGATCTAATAAAGTAGTCTATGTATTCCTGGGCTTATCCCTGAAATAAGCATATATGCATCCAATCCTAAACATATACCAAAGACTTTGAGAACTGAACTAGAGAACAGACAACCACCAAGATCCCAGGCTGGCCAATGGACAGTAAATATGCAGAATATATCTGACTAGCACCAGAAATCCTTTGAAAACTAAACTGATAATGAAACTGTAGCCCACAGAAAGTAGATCAAAACTTGTTGCCCAAAACTAAGTGGGTCAACTTCCTGGCTAAAAATAATAATAACAATCAGCATTCTATATAGGATTTAAACAAATATGAGACCCAGAGTCTCATACCATGATATTCCAATGGCCAGGATACAATAAAAAAGTACTCCACATATAAAGAATCAAGAAAAAGTTTAACAATTTCAGGTAAAAAACACAACAGATGCCAATGGCAAGAGTGTCTAGATATTGAAATGATTAAACAAAGACTTTAAGGTAAGTATTATAATCCAAGAAGGCAAACAGCGTTGAAATGAATGAAAAGCTGAGAAGCCTCAGTAGAAAAATAGAAGCTATAAAGAAGAACCAAATTAAATTTGAGAATTGAGAAACACAATAACCAAAATTTTAAAATGTGGTTACTTGATAATAGCACAGTGGAAATAACAGAGTGAAAAATAACTGTTTTCAGTGAACTTGAAAACAGATTAATGGAAATTATCCAATCAAAAAAATGGAAAAAATGAACAGAGCCTCAGTAACCTACGGGGCAATACAGAAAGGTCTACTTTCATGTTATTGGTGTCCCAGAAGGACAGAGAAAAGCATGTGGTACAGAAAAAAGAAGTATTAAAAATATAATGGCTGTAAAATTCCCATAGTTTGTGTAACACACAAACTTGATTCAAGAAAATAAGCAAATCCTAACAGAATAAATGGAGAAATCCACGCTCAAGCATATTATAATAAAAATTGCTGAATGTTTAAGACAAATAAAAAAATCTTGACTGGACACAGTGGCTCATGCCTGTAATCCCAGCACTTTGGAAGGCTGAGGTAGGAGAATCACTTGAGGCCAGGAGTTTGAGCCCAGACTGGGTAATATAAGGAGACTCTACTTCTACAGAAAAATTAAAAATTAGCTGAGTGTGGTGATGCATGCCTGTAGCCCTAGCTACTTGGGAGGCTGAGATGGGAAGATCATTTGAGCCCAGGAGGTCAAGACTACAGTGAGCTATGATCATGCCACTGCACTCTAGCCAGGGCAACAGAGCAAGACTCTGAGTCTAAAAAATAAGTCATCTCAAAAGCAGCCAGAGAAAAATAATGTATGACATATAGAGAAACAATTATCCAAATGACTGCAGATTTCTCATTAGGAATCATGGAGGCCAAGAGGAGGTATAACAACATTTTAAAGAGATAAAAGAATTGTCAATCCAAAATGCTATATCCAGCAAAACTATCCCTCAGGAGTGACAACAAAATAAAGGCATTCTTGGATGAAGGCAAACTAAGATTTTGTCACCAGAATACCTGTTCTAAAAGAACTATTAGAAGTTCTTCAGAAGGAAAGGAAATAATACCAGAAGGAAACTTGGAACATGAGCGCTGAAGAAGGAGCAATAAGAATGGTAAATATCTGCATAAATAGATTGTCTTTCTCCTCTTAACTTTAAAATAAGCCAGGCACAGCGGCTCATGCCTTCAATCCCAGCACTTTGGGAGGCCAAGGCGGGTGGATGGTTTGAGGCCAGGAGTTAGAGATCAGCCTGGCCAACATGGAGAAACCCCATCTCTACTAAAAATAAAATACAAAAATTAGCCAGGTGTGGTGGAGCATGCCTGTAATCCCAGCTACTCAGGAGGCTGAGGCACGAGAATCTCTTGAACCCGGGAGGCGGAGGTTGTGGTGAACCGAGATCTTGCCCCTGCCCTCCAGTTTGGGCAACAGAGAGAGACTCTGTCTCAAAAAAAAAAAAAAAAAAGAAAGAAAGAAAGAAAGAAAGAAAGGAAAAAGAAAAAAAGAAATGACAGTTGAAAGCAAAAAGTTGTTATAACGTTGTTTGGCTGGGTTACATACAGAGGTAGTATGTATGAGAAATACATTATAATAGGAGGACCCAGGGACCCATTTCATGATAAGGTTACACGTAAGACCAGAAGCGGTAAAACATTGATTCTAGTAAATTGTAAAGTCATGTATGTATATTATAATCCCTAGAGCAACCACTAAAAACTATATACAAAGAGATATAGTAAAATCACAATAGAAAATTTTTAATGGAATACTAAAAAGTATTCAAATACTCCAAAAGAAGCCAGGAAAGGGAAAATGCAGCAAAGAAAAACAGAGTTGAAAAAAAAAAACCCATAAAATAGTAGACCTAAATTCAAACTTATCAATAATTACAGTAAAGGAAAGTTGTCTAAACATACCACACACCAGTTAAAGGACAGAGATTGCCAGATTTGGACCAAAAAAAAGAAAAAAACAAGATTCAACTATAAGTGTCTACAAGAATTCCATTTTTAATATAAGGACATAGGTAGTTAAAAGTAAAAGGATGAAAAATAATACACCATGGAAATACTAATAAAAAGAAAAGTCACTGGAGCGGCTCTGTTAATATCAGACAAAGTAGACTTTAGAGAAAAGAAAATTACCAAAGATCAAGAGGGTTTTAAATAATGAAAAAGCATCAATCACAAAGAAGTCATAACACTCTTAAGAAGTATGTATCTAACAACAGACTTTCAAAATATGTGATGCAAAAACTGCTAGAACTGAAAAGAGAAATGAGCAAGCCCACAATTAGAGTTGGAGGTGTGAACGCTACTCACTCAGGAGCTGACAGGACAAGTACAGAGAGAATAGCAAGAACAGAGAAGAACTGGACAACACCATCAGTGAACTCATCTAATTGACATTTGCAGAATACTCCATTCAAGCACAGCAGAATTCACATTCTTTTCAAATGTTGAAGGAACAGTCACCAAAATAGATCATATTCTGTGCCATAAAACAAACCCTAACAGTTTAAAAGAGTAAATCATCCTAAGAATGTCTCTGAACATAATGGAATTAAATTAAAAATTAACATAGGAAAATTATCTGGCAAATTCCCCTAACACTTAGAAATTTCTTAAAAAGACCTTTCTAAATAATCCATAAGTCAGTGTGGAAGTCTTGAGGGAAATTACAAAATTTTTAACTGAAAGAAAATGAAAATACATCTCAAAGTTTGTGGGATGCGGCTAATGCAGTGTTCAGAAGAAAAGTGTATATCATTAAATAATTACATTTGAAAAGAAGGAGAGTGTCAAATCAACAATCTAAGATTCCACTTTAAAGAACTAGAAAAAGGAGCAAAATAAACCCAAAGCAATCAGAAGAAAGGAAATAATAAAGATAAGGCCAGAAATCAATGAAATTGAAAACAGAAAAATAATACAGAAAATCAATCAAACCAAAAGCTGTTTCTGTGAAAAGATCAATAAAATTGATAAACCTCTAGCCAGACTAACTAAGAAAAATAGAGAGAAGACACAAATTACCAATCTCTAGAGTAAAAGTATTGGAATATTACTACAGACCACACAGACATAAATGGATAATAAAAAATACTATGAACAAATCTATCCACTTAAATTTGACAACTTAGCTGAAATGGGCCTATTTCTTGAAAGCCACAAACTATCAAGACTCACCCAAGAAGAAATAGATGACCTAAATATTCCCATGTCCATTACAAAACCAAATTAATATTAATAGTTAAAAACATTCAATAATATAACTCCAAACTCATACATATGGTTTCAACAAAATATCAGCAAATCATGTACAGTCATGCACCACGTAACAACCTTTTGGTCAATAATGGACCAAGTATACAACGGTGGTCTCATAAGATTATAGAGACGAAAAATTCCTATTACTAGTGGTGTTATAGCCATCCTAATGTCATAGTGAAACACCTTACTAACATGTTTGTGTGGATGCTGGCATAAACAAGCCTATAGCACTGCCAATCATATTAAAGTATAGCAGTACAATTATGTACAGTACATAACATGTGGTAATGATAATAAAAGACTATGTTATTGGTGTACATGTTCATTATGCTATATTTTTAATCCTTATTTTAAAGTGCACTTCTACTACTTATTTTTAAAAAGTTAACTTTAGGCCGGGCGCGATGGCTCATGCCTGTGATCCCAGCACTTTGGGAGGCCGAGGAGGGCGGATCACGAGGTCAGGAGATTGAGACCATCCTGGCTAACATGGTGAAACCCCGTCTCTACTAAAAATACAAAAAATTAGCCGGGCTTGGTGGCGGCGCCTGTAGTCCCAGCTACTCGGGAGGCTGAGGCGGGAGAATGGCGTGAACCCGGGAGGCTGAGCTTGCAGTGAGCCCAGATCGCGCCACTGCACTCCAGCCTGGGCGACAGAGCGAGACTCCGTCTCAAAATAAATAAATAAATAAATAAATAAATAAATAAATAAATAAATAAATAAATATAAAAAATTTACTTTAAAACAGCCTCAGGCAAATCTTTCAGGAAGTATTATAGAAGAAGGCACTGTTATCGTAGGAGATGACAGCTCCACACGTGTTATTGCCCCTGAACACCTCCCGCTGCAACAAGATGCGGAAGTGGAAGACAGTGACACTGATGATCGTGACCATGTGTAGCCCTAGGCTAATATAGGTGCTATGTTTTAATTTTTAACAAAAAAGTTTTAAAAAATAAAAATTTTAAAAAAGTGAATAGAATGAAAATATAAAGAAAGAAAATATTTTTGCACAAACGTGCGATGTGTTTTAGGCTGTTATTTCAAAAGAGTCAAAAAGTTTTTTAAATTAAAAAGGCTATAGGCTGGGCGCAGTGGCTCACGCCTGTAATCCCAACACTTTGGGAGGCTGAGGCGGAGGGATCACCTGAGGTCGGGAATTCGAGACCAGGATGACCAACATGGAGAAACCCTGTCTCTACTAAAAATACAAAAAATTAGCCAAGCGTGGTGGCACATGCCTCTAATCCCAGCTACTCTGGAGGTTGAGACAGGAGAATCGCTTGAACCCGGGAGGAGGTTGCAGTGAGCCAAGATCGCGCCATTGCACTCCAGCCTGGGCAACAAGAGTGAAAGTCCATCTCAAAAATAAAAAATAAATAAAAATAAAAAGTTTATGTTACAGTGAGCTAAGGGTTAATTAATTATGGAAGAAAGAAAAATGATTTTTATAAATTTCGTAGCCTAAGTGTATAGTGTTTACAAAGTTCACAGTCATGTGCAGTAATGCCATTCACATTCACATTCACTGAACACTCACTCACTGACTCACCCAGAGCAACTTACAGTCCTGCAAGCTCCATTCATGAGAAGTGCCCTATACAGGTGTATTTTTTTTTAATCTTTTATACTCTATTTTTACAGTACCTTTTTTATGTTTAGAAATATTTAGATACACAAACACCATTGTGTTAAAACTGCCTGCAGCATTCAGTACAGTAACATATTATACAGGTTTGTAGCCTCAGAGCAATAAACTATACCATACATAATAGTGTGCAGTAGGCTATACCACCAAGATATATGTAAGTACACTCTATGATGTTCACACAATGATGAAATCACCTAACAGCACATTTCTCAGAACGTATCCTCATTGTTAAGTGATACATGACTGTGTACGTATGGATATGCAAATCACACACACACATACATGCACACACCCACCCATGCAAACACACACACACATACAAAATATATGTCTTGGCCAAGTGAGGTTTATCTTGGGAGTACAATAACAGTTCAACACTTGAAAATCAACGTAATCTAACATATTAACATAGTAAGGAAGGAAACCAAATAATCTTATTAATTGATGCAGAAAATGCACCTAACCACACTCAATATTCATCTATGTTTTTTTTTAAATGTCTCTCAGCAAACTAGGATTAAAAGGCAGCTTCCTTAACCTAATAAAGGGCATCTTCAAAAAGCCTACAACTAACATTATACTTAATGGTGCAAGAGGGAGCTTTTCCTCTGAGATTGGGACCCAGGAAAGGAGGTCCACTATCACCACTCCTTTTCCACATTGTACTGCAGGTCTTAGCCACTGCAATAAGTCACGAAAAGAAATAAAAGGCATACAGATAGGAAAGTAAGAAATAAAACTGTCCCTATTCCCAGACAATATATAGGAAATTCCAAGGAATCTAAAAACAAAAAAAGAATGAATAGGTAAGTTTAGCAAGGTCACAGAATACAAGGTCAATGCATAAAAATTAATCATATTTTTGTATACCATCAATGAACAATTAGAAACGGGAAATTTAAAAATGGTACCATTTACAACAAACCCCCAAATTGTAAAATATTTTGGTATAAAACTAATAAAACATATATGGAATCTATATGCTGAAAACTACAAAACACTGATAAAAGACCTAAATAAACAGAGAGACATACCATACTCATTGATTGAAAGACTCAACATAGTTAAGATGTCAATTCTCCCAAACTAATGCAATTCTAATCATAATCACAGCAGGAATTTTTCAGTAGATGTAGACAAACTGATTCTAAAATTTATATGTATAGGCAAAGGAATTAGAAGAGCCTAAATAATTTTGATGATTAAAATAATGTTAGAGGGCCTACACCACCCAATTTTAACATTTGCTATAAAGGTACAGTAATAAAATCAATGAGGTATTAACAAAAAGACAGACCCATAACAGTGGGACAGAACAGAGAGTACAGAAAGAGACACATAAACATGGTCAATTGCTTTTTGACAAAGTTGCAAAAGCAATTCAATGGAAAAAAGTCTCTTCAACAAATAGTGTTGGAACAATTGAACACCTATGTGAAAAAAAAGCTGAACCTCAACTTATACATCATGCCTTACATAAAATTAACTCAAAATTATCACAAATGGAACATTTGAGACAAAATCTCTAAAAACAGGAGAAATCTTCATGTCCTTTGGTTAGGCACAGAATTCATAGATATGACACCAAAAGCATAATCCACTAAAATTTTTTTATAAATTGGGCTTTATCAAAATTTAAAATGTTTGCTCTGCTAACAGAGTGAGAACACAAGCTACCTGTGGGGACAAAATATTTGCAAGAAATATATTTTACAAAGGACTTGTCTTCAGAATATTCAAAGAACTCTCAAAAATCAAGAAGAAGGCAAAAAATTTAAACAGCCACTTTACCAAAGAAGATACATGAGTTAACAAATAAGCACATGAAGAAATGTTCGACATCATTAGCCCTTATGGAAATGCAAATTAAAGCCAAGATGAAACCATCACATGCCTATTAGAATGGCTAAAATTAAGAAGGGAAAATCAAATATCATGTACTGATAAGGATGGAAAGCAACTGGAACTCTCATATATTGTTGGTTGGAAGGAAAATGGTACAGTCACTCTGTCCTTTAATAATTGATAAGCAAATTGTGGATTATTGACACAATGCAATAAAAAAGAACAAACTTGATACACACAACAGTATGGATGTATTTCAGAGTCATTATGCTGAACAAAACATATCAGTATTAAAAGGTTACATACCATATAAATTCATTTATATGACATCAATATGGCAAAACTATAGGGACAGAGAATAGATTACTGGTTTCCAAGAACTAGCGGTTAGGGAAGGTTTGTCTCTGAAGGGGTAGCATAAAAAGTGTTCAGAAGATCATGGTACCATTTTGTATTCGATTCTTGTCATGGCTATGTGACTATTTGATATGTTAAAATTTATAAAACAGTATACCAACAAGCCGATGTCACACTATGTAAGCTTTTTTAAAACCCAATGATAGAAAATGGTAGAGGAATGTTTACAAAGTTCTGAATGCAAATCCCAGAATTGTATAGCTAGCCAAGTTTTCATTTGTATATAATAGCAAATCAGAGACATCCTCAAGAATGCATGAGCTCAAGGAACGTAGCAGCAATGAGCCATTCTTGAAAAAAAAGTTCCTATTTAGGAAATCCAGCCAATAAAGAGATAAGTCAAAATAAAGATTTCAGGAAACAAAAGGCCTGGTGGTGTGCACTGAATGTACTTAAATACATAATTAAGATTAAACAGCTCCAGTAATAATTATGATTGCCAAAAAATGTTGACAATATAAAAATAATTACCAGCTTGGACAACATAGTGAGACCTTGTCTCTACAAGAAAAAAAGATGAGAAAAAGCTGGGTGTGGTGGCATGCACCTGTGGTCCCAGCCACCTACTTGGAAGGCTGAGGTAAGAGGATCACTTGAGCCCAGGAGGTCAAGGCTGCAGTGAGCCATGATCACACCACAGCACTCCAACCTGGGTGACAGAGAGAGAGTATCTATATCTATTGTCTAATAGTAATAATAATAATAATTAACAGAAATTGACAAGTTGGGGAAGAGAAAATAAAAATAATTATAAGGGTGCTAATATCATCGTATCTCTTAATAGGGAATACTCCATACTCTCTAGAATAAAAATATAATTAAAAACTATGCCAATCTCTTGTGTTTTATAATTTTTTTCCTTAAGCTTAAAAGGATCTTTTGAAAAAGTTTTTATTTTGAAATAACTTAGAACAGTTGAAGAATTACAGAAAGTTGAAAATGCAGTACAAAGAATTCAGTATGCCCTTCATCACTTCCCCTAATGTTAACAATTTACATGACCATAGTAAAATTATCAGAACCAGGAAATCAACATTGACACAGTACCATTAACTAAACTACAGATCTTATTAAAATATTGCCAAATCTCCCATGGATGTCTGTTTTCTGGCCTAGAATCCAATCCAGGATCCTACATTGCATTTCATTGTCCTATCTCCTTAGTAAATTTCTTAGAGAAATATCAGGAAATAGTAACTCTTGGGTAAAGTCTCCTCCAGGAGACTTTGCTTCTAACTCTTTGGCCAGAATGATCACTCCTAAGTGCAAAAGAGGCTGGGAATGTGAGTATTTATCCTGAAGATATGAACATTACAGATACCGAGAATCATGATTCTTTGAGTAAGGAAGAAGGGAATGCATATATTTTGACTAAGCAATTAACAATTTCTGCTAAACAGGCATAAGATTAACAACTCCAAACTATGTCAGTGAATGGGAGCTACAGACAAGTGGGTACATTTGAGATATTTAGGAGGTAAGATAGGCAGAACTTGGTAAATGATTAGCTGTCGGATGTAGGGAAGAGGGATGAATGAAGAATGTGTACCAGATTCCTGTGTTGGTAGAATACGTGAATAGGGATGCTAGGATTGGAGAAAGGAAATGCCACCTGCTATTTTCTTGGAGCTCCCAGTATATTGAACAATATTAGAAAAGTGTTCCTTAATTTTTAAAATAATAATCAAAACAGCTACCATCTAATAAGCCCTTACAATGAACTAGGCATGTTACCAAATGCTTTATATGCATTATCTCATTTAGTCCTTACAACAACTCAGTTCACTTAATCTATTTCGGTCACTGGAATTTCACCAGCGCCCAGAACAGCACCCAACATATAGTAGGTGCTCTGTGAACATTAAAAGAAGGGTGAAAGGAAGGAAGGATTATCATCATTTTACAGGTGAAAAAATCTGAGAGTCAGAGAAGTTAAATGACTTAGTGAGCTAAGCCTGGACATCTGTAGAATGGAGGATCTCAGAGTTCAGCTCAGCTCTGTACTTCTTCACCATGATTTACCACCTTCCCCTTGAAGACATGAAGCTCCCACTCCATCAGAGAAAATGGAACCACAAGAAAGTTAGAATCCTTCCAGACACCAAATCCTTCCACAGCCTCCAAAGTCCTGGGTGATCTCGCCTCCCAGTGCCTTGCCAACCCAGTCTCCTTTCGCTCTCCTCCTTAGTGCATTAAAACCACTTTGCTTCTTGCTCACACCGAGGTCTTCTCAGCCTCAAAGTTGCCCTCAGGCTCTCCTCTCTGCCCTGAAAACTCCACCCAGCTCCTAGTTGGATGGATTGTTCCTTCTTATCCATAACTCTTAGAAGTCTTCCCTGGCCCCAAGACTAGGCCAAGTTCCCTAGGTACAGGGTCTCTTAACCCCATGGAACTCTTTTCTTTTTTGTTTGTTTGTTTTTTTGTTTGTTTGAGATGGAGTCTCGCACTGTCGCCCAGGCTGGAGTGCAGTGGCGCGATCTCTGCTCACTGCAAGCTCCGCCTCCCGGGTTCACGCCATTCTCCTGCCTCAGCCACCCGAGTAGCTGGGACTACAGGCGCCCGCCACCACGCCCAGCTAATTTTTTGTATTTTTAGTAGAGATGGTGTTTCACCGTGTTAGCCAGGATGGTCTTGATCTCCTGACCTCGTGATCTGCCGGCCTCGGCTTCCCAAAGTGCTGGGATTACAGACGTGAGCCACCACGCCCTGCCGCCATGGAACTCTTTTCTACAGCACTTCTTGGAGCCTCTGATTAATAAGTTATTGGCATGATTATGTGTCTATTGACTGAACTCATGCTAGAATGTAAGCTCCATAAATGCAAGGGCTCTGTCTGACTTGTTCACTATAACCCCAGTGTTCAGCACAGTGCAGGCAGATAGTGGCTGCTCAGCACATATCTTATGCATGCCTGATGAATGGAGAAATGAATGTGATGGATGGGTGGATATAATGGATGGATGGACAGACAGCCAAACACATGGATAGATGAATGCTATAGATGAATAGATAGATGCTATGTGTGGGTAGAAGGATAAATGGATAGACAGATGGGTTAACGGCTTTCTCTAGATCACTTATGCCAGAGGGTTCTCCATCTCATATTCCCAGGTTTCCTGGCTGGCAGCCCCCTGCTGCAGTTTTTATTACTCCTTCCTGCGCTGACAAAGACAGCCTGGTTGGATCTTACCTGGGCCCACACTGCTGGGAAAGTGGCCAAGAGACTCCAGATCTGACTTGGGTATGCAGCAGCAGGAGATTGTGGGCTGATGTGGAAATATCCTCTCCTGGGGAGAAGGTGGGCCCATAGCAATTATGCAACAGAAAGGGCTCTTGAAGTAAATCTGTCTTGCACAAACAGGTTAGAGTTAAATTTGACCTGAGCATGAATCACGCTGTCAGTTTCCCATTCAACCACATCACTGAGCTAGCAACCTCTGTGAATGCTACTATTTATATAGATACAAATACATGTATTTATACAGACAGAGGTATGTGCGC
The DNA here is from genome assembly GCF_000001405.40 of Homo sapiens. Lineage (NCBI taxonomy): Eukaryota > Metazoa > Chordata > Mammalia > Primates > Hominidae > Homo > Homo sapiens. The sequence goes on from NC_000020.11 coordinate 2,022,510, forward strand.
AACTGAAGCTTTCTGATTAATTGTATCCTTGGAGAGAAAGACTTCTTTTTATAACTCCTCCTTTTATGCTCAGTAAAAGCTGGTTCAAGGCTACAGAGAGGGAAGTCCTTGAAGGACTGAGGGGTGCCCAGAGTGGGAGGAAAGATCAACAATTCATTCAGCAAACATTTCCTGATGCTTACTCTGGGGCAGGCACTTAGAAGTGTTAGTGGGGTGGTGAAGGGTGTGAAAATTAATAACATGCTTTTTGCCCCCATGTTATTCAAAGTCTGGTGGGGCTGACTGACACACGGAAGGTTAGTGGGTGGTTAAGGATTCAGACTTTGAAATCAAATAGGTGGGGATTCAACTCCCAGCTTCACCATGTACTTGCTGTGTGACCTTGGCAAGTTATTTAAGGTCCCCGAGCCCAATCTCTCATCTCCATGGGTAACAGATGCAGATATTATATAGATATATAGATAGTATCTACCTGCTAGAGTTTTTGTGAGCCTGGAATAAGACAGCAAATGTGAAGCCTGACGCAGAGTAAACACTCAAGAATCATCATCATCATTGCTTCATAGCTAACCTTTTTCAGTGTTTAGGACGTGCCAGGTACAAAAAGCACTTACAGGTATTAACCCACTTAATCCTCAAAACAACCCTCGGAGAGTGATATTATTCCCCATCCCACCCCATTTTCTCAGATGAAAAAGTATGACACAAAGAGGTTAAGTGATTTGTCCAAGGTCACACCTCTCCTAATTGGTGGAACCAGGCTTTGAACTCATAATACCAACCTGGGTCCAGATGGTTACAAGTCCACCCCAGGTTTTCTTTAGCACCCTTTTGGCATCCTTTTCGAAACTGTGCTGATCCTCCGGCCAGCGCCTTGAGGACAGAGAGGAAATTGCTTCTTTGATCATTAATTATTGTTACCTGCCAGGTATTTCATATATAGGAGAAGCAGTATTGTGTAGTGTTTATGGTTTGAATCTATGCTCTTATCCCACATTAAAGAAAGAATTAGAAACAGTAGTAATAAGATGAACAATCTAACTTAAAAGGCATCGTACAGGGGAAAGGCTTTAGCTCAGATCAGCTTCTGGTACCATCTACGTGCTACCTGACTTTGGGCAAATCAAGTCCTCTCCAATGCCCTTTCAGCTACTCTCAGCACTTTGCTTATTTAATAAACACTTCTCTGGTCATCCTTCTGAGCATGTGACTAATATTAAGTTTCATATAATCTTATCAGATAGGAAGTTAGTATATCCCCATTCCGTGGAAGGGAAAACTGACACACAAAGAGGTCAGACAACTTGCCTAAGGTCAGACAGCTGGTCAAGGGCAGAGCCAGGATTCAAACCAAGCAGTCTAGCCCCATGCTCAGTCTTCTTAAACATATGACCCTGTCCTATCACATGCACCCTATCACATTGTATCCACCCATCGACCCACAGTGGGTAAATAGTATCACCGCCATTGTACACATGAGGATGCTGACGCTCAGGGAGGAAAGCCACTCACCCAAGTGCTCTGACTTGTAAGTGGCAGTGCCCTAAGATCAAAACCTCAAAACCAGGTCTGCCATGTGTTCTTCCCACAGCAGCCAGCAGGATTTTTCTATCAGTCCACTTTCCCGGTCAGGTTTATTGGCTTCTCCTTGCTCTCAGGATTAAGTCCAAGGGCTTTAATCCAGTTTAACAGACCTTCAAAGATGTGGCCAGCAAATGTCTCCCACCCTGTCACTCACCACTCCCCCTCACACTACCTGAGCCAAACTGAATAACAGGCAGCACCTAAAGGTGCCAGACTCTTTCCCAGCAGAACCAAAATCCTGTCCTTGATTCTGCCGGGAAAGAGAGGCTGGCACCTTTGGGAGCTGCCTGTTATTCCCTCAAAGAGCCTGGCATCTCCTACTCCATAGCTGTCCCCAAATTCCTGTGACTTCCATGGGGCTTTGCCTGGTCCACTCTGCTGACCATGTGCGCTGACCATGTCATTGTCTCTGACATCCCCGTATCCTCCCAGACCCCATGTGCAGCCCCTCACTGGGTTCCATGGGCAATCCAATCACGGAAAGTTTTAAACAAGATCTAGGGGTGAGTTCATGGGGAGGTGCTCATAAGGAATGGGACAGTGGCTGGCGACCAAGGTAGCCCCAGCATCTGGGACAGGGTCTGACCGTGGAAGACTCTCCATGGGAAGGAACAAAGTGGGGATAGAGAATGCACAAGCACACTGGCAGCACCCACCCGTAACTACTCCCAAGTCATTTCAGAACCAGAATACACTCCTCTCTTTGTCTCAGTTTCCACATTATTGCAATCACATCTTAACATTGAAGCAATGGTCTTGAGAGTCTCCTACTCCATCCACCCCCAGGAGCTTATCAGTTTATATCAACTTATTCTTTTAATTCGGCTCTCTGAAAACAAATCATGCCCACCCCTTACCCTAATCCAATAGAAACCAAATCTGTGCAGTGCGACCCAGGCATTCATAATTTTTATCTACCTGCTCCCACCTCACCCCCCACTCCTAACCATTTTCCCCGCCCTTTTGTGGTTAAGTGTCACTGGTCTCTCAGTCTCTTCCTCAAGAAAGTCTTCCCTGCTGTCATTCCTCAAATCAAGTTGGGTGTCCTTCCTCTAAGCTCCCACAGCACTTACTTTCTCTTATACTCTGAACCTCGAGTTTTTAAACTCCAGACTAGTCTTATTATCTGTGAGTTTTTCCAGAGTCTAGAATGATGCCTACCATATTGTAAAAGAGCTTAATAGCTATGGAATAAATGAGTGAATTCAACTTTGAGGATGCTTCCCACTTTTCACTCTTGTAATTAACAGTGAGTAGCTCCATAAATATGCCTTTTCCTGTGTTTTAGAATATTTCCCCAGAAGTAGGGCTCCTGGGACAAGGATAAAGACTTGTGTGTCTCTCACTATAGTGTAGATGCCTCACTCACACTTTTTCCTTACTCCTTTCTAACAAAACCCTGCACATGTCACCTATAGAGTTTGGGCAAGATTTATTAAACCTTCACACCATTGAGTGAATCCCTGATTTAAATCCAACTGGGATGTCCTTTCACTCCCCACACCCACACCATCCATACCAGCCACACCCCACATATACACAGAGTGAGGGACTTAGGGGTGATCACGTGAACAAAGCTAGTCCAATGAGAGTCAACCAGACTCAGGTCCAACCCTTCTTTTTAATTGACAAATAAGAATTGTATATATTTATTGTGTACATGATATTTTGAAATATGTATACAATTGAAGCTCCATATCCATGGTTTCCACATCAGTGGATGCACCCAACCATGGATCAAAAGTAATAGGAAAAAAGCAATAAAAAATAACAATACAACAATGAAAAATAATACAAATAAAATATAGTATATTTACATAGCATTTACATTGTATTTGATACTATAAGTGGTCTAAAGATAATTTAAAATATACCAGAGATATGTGTAGGTGTCACAGGATCCTTGGGGTGTCGCTTTTCCAGCCAGAAACCTCTGTGGCCAGTGGCACCTTTGCTCAAGTTTTGCTCAGGCCCACTGGACTCGTTCTGCCCACTCAGCCTGGCAAGCTGTGCTCGGCTCATGTTACCAGCCTGGATCCCACACCTGCCAAGGGTAAGCCAGCCATGGAGTAGTAAGGCACGTGTGAATAAGCATGGGGTCCAACCACTGTGCACAGCCAGGCATGCCAGCTGCGGCGGGGCAGGCAGCTCCAGGCGCTGGCATGGGTGCCAGCTCTCTGCGAGGCTGCAGCTGGACCAGGTGTACTGCTAGCAGCTTCCACAGCTGGCACTGGGGAACATGGTGGCGCACAGAAGCTTGGAGATGCCAGGAACCACAGAGTCCCAAAGAGGATGTCACAGCCCTGGTTCAAGGAGCTACTAGATGTGGGCTCCCCAAAGGGCTGCAGCTCTTCTCCCCTTCTCATTGCCTGCAATGTGGCACACAAGGGGCATGCTTCATCCCTGTTTGTGTTACAGGTCTTTCATCACCGCCATTTGATGAGTCCCAAGTTCTTGTCCTGTGTCCAGGAAGAATGAGGTACGTGGACAAGTGGAGAGTGAACAAGGCGAAGACGTACTTTACTGAGTGACAGAACAGCTCAGAGGAGCCCACAGTGGGTAGCTCCTCTCCACAGGCAGGTCATCCCAACATCTGCTCAGCTGTCAGCAGACAGGAGACCTGCAGTGGGTAGCTCCTCTCTGCAGGCAGGTCACCCTGGCATCTGCCCAAATCTGGCTGAGTCTGGGGTTTTTATGGGCTTCAGAGGAGAGGAAGTGCATGCTGACTTGTCCATGGCTAGTCATGGGTGGCCTAGAGAAAGGACCATAAGTTCTTACTCCTGCAGAACTGTCAGTGCAGTCCCCAGGCCTCAGGCTGTCCCTGAGCTGAAGGTGGGGTTTCACCAGGGACCCACCCCTTTCCACTCAGGAGCCTGTCCACCTCCTGCCACCATTAACCTGCCATGCACGGTGCTCACAATGGCCAGGCTGTTCATGCCAAGGGGTGCCCTCAGGCCTGTGCTGAGCTGCCCTAACTGCCCCTCTGCCTCCCTCCCATACTTGTCAGCACCCAAAGTCCAGAGGGGGCTGAGGCAGCAGGAGGCTGGCATGTCAGTGCTGCCCCCAAGCACATACACACCTGGCCAGGTCATGACAGCGCCCAGGCTTGGCCACACCTTTGCTCCAAAATTGGAGTGGGCACCAGGAGCAGGAAGAGGCCAGGCAGTGGGAGCAGGCACTTCTGAGCCTGTGGGGGTAAGAGGGGCTCCCAGGCCGCAGAGAATGCAGAGATTCCTGGGTCCACAGCCATGGCTGGGCAGCTGCAGCTGTGCCTGGGAGGGCAGAGCTCCCACCCCTTTAACTTGGATGGGAGCAGGGCTCCTACCTGTTCGTGGCTCCCACCAGCTCCATGGAGTGTGCAGCCCCAGCCACACCTCCCCCACTGCAGCTGGTGTCATGGCAGTGGCCACCCCAGATGGGTTGCCACTGCCATCATAGGTAATATGCAAATATAGTTGTCCCTCAGTATTCTCTGGGTATTGGTTCCAGGACCCACCTCGGATACCAAAATCCAAGGTTGCTCAAGTCCTTTATATAAAATGGTGTAGTATTTGCGTATGACTTATGAACATCCTCCCATATGCTTTAAGTCATCTCTGGATTACTTATAATACCTAATAGAAATGCAAGTGCTATGAAAAATAGTTGTTATACTGTATTTTTATTTGCATCACTTTTATTGTTGTATTGTTATTGACTGTTCTTTTTTTTTTAATATTTTTTGATCTGTAGTTGGTTGAATCTGTGGATCCACAGAACCTGCAGATATGGAGGACTGACTATACTGTCATTTTATATAAAGGATTTGAGCAACCTTAGGTTATGATGTTCTCAGGGATCCTGGAACCAATACCCTGAGGATAGGGAGGGATGACTGTACATAGCAGAATGGCTAAATCAAGCCATGCAACATACATATCACCTCATACACAGTACTCGTCATTTTTTATGCTAAGTGTCTGTGAAAACACAATATCTACTCTCTTAGCAGTTTTCAAGAATACAACACATTGTTATTAACTATGGACACCATGTTGTACAACAGATCACTTGAACCTATTTCTCCTATCTAATTGAAACTTTATATCCTTTGACCAACATCTTCCATCTCCTACCGTCAGTCGCTGCTAACTACCATTCTTCTCTCTGTGAATTTGACTTTTTTAGATTCCACGTGTAAGTGAGATCACATAGTATTAGACTTTCTGTGTCTGGCTTATTTCACTTAGCATAATATCTTCCAAGTTCATCCATGTTGTCAAAAATGAAAAGATTTCTTTCTTTTTCAAAGCTGCATGGTATTCTATTGTGTATATATACTACATTTTCTTTATCCATTCATTCTTGCTGGACACAGGTTGATTCCATATCTTGGCTATTGTAAATAATGCTGCAGTGGATGTGTGAGTGCAGGTAGGTATCCCTTTGGCATATTAATTTCATCTTGTTTGGATGTATACCCAGTAGTGGTTTTAATTTTTGTTTTGCTTTGTGTTTTACTATCAGGAAAACACACTCTTCTGAATGGAGCCAGAAGACATAGAGCCCTGGTGCCAGTGATTACAATTTGGTGGCCACAAAGGGAGATCCTGTTGCTCACTGAGGATTAGCCCCCTCCCCACCGAGGGAGCAGAGGAGAGAAATACCTAAAGGGAGACATCATGGTCACATTGCTGATGGATTCATCTTCATTTGAAGCTGGCCCTACCTCTCAGCTTTTTAATTATGTGAGTCAATAAATTCCTTTTCTTGGATAAGCCACTTTAAGTGGCATTTTTGCTTTCACTTTCAAATATAAGCATGCTAGCTCATGTACAACACGCTGCCAAATTGTTTTTCAAAAGAGTTGTCAACATTTGCAATTAGGCAGAAATTATTTTGAACCTATTAGATGAGACAGTTGACAGTTGCTTCTGAGAATTCAGTAATTCAGTATATCAGGGGTCACAATGACTCTAGGATGTTGACTCATTCAGTTTGGACCTTCAATGAGCTATGGAATGGGAAGTGGAGCAATGTCTGTCACCCTCACCCCCACTACCTAAAGGACCAAGTAAATCTTACCAGATGGTGCTGTGAAATTTTTTTATGTCTGAAAACTTTAAGAGTAATTTTTGCTAGTTTTAAAAATATGAAACAACTCTTGTTCATTACAGAAAAATAAAAATAAATCTATGTTTCAACTATCTATTTTTGTGTAACAAACCATTCCAAAATTTGGCAGCAGCTTAAAATAACAATTTTATTATGCTCCCACATTCTGTGAGTCAAGAATTTGGAAAGGGAACGAGGGGGGTGGGCAATGGCATGTATTTGTTCCACCAGGGAACTTCAGCTAAGATGACCAAAGGCTGGGGTTGACTTGATTGCTGGGGGCAGGATCATCTGGAGATGTCCTCACTCACATGTCTGGCAGTCATTCAGGACCTCAGCCTGGGCCATTGGCTGGAATACCTACATATGACCTGTCCATGTGGCCTGGGCTTGCTCATAGCATGACTACCTTGGACTCCTTGCAAGGAAGCTCAAGACTCCAAGGCTTGTACATCAAAATAACTAGCTAAAGCCTCCTGGCCTTTGATGTCCTAGCATTCAAAGTCACATAGCATCACTTTTCCAGCACTCCAGTGGACATTTAGTCACTAAGGTCACTGCAGATTCAGTGGGAGAAGACGGAGACCCTATTTTTTGCTGAAAGGAGCATCAAAGATCAACTTGCGGGCCTATTTTTAAATACCCCAGGATTCCAGCAAAAAGAGGACAATAAGCAACAATGCAACCCTGCCCACCCAGAGATCATCACAATCAACATCTTCATGTAAACTTTTCTGGATACTGCTTTGTCGTTGATTTTTATAAAGCTGAAATAGTTTTAGTGGAGACTCTTTTACTTGAAAGTGAGAGAAACCCAATTCAAACTAATGTAAGCAATAAAGGAAATATATTGGCTCATAGAACTGAAAAATCTCAAGGGGCTGTCTTCAGGAACAGGTGGATCCAGGAGCTCAATAATATCATGGATCTGTCCCATTCTCCCTCTTGGCTTTACTTTCCCTTGGTTTGTTTCATCTGAAGCAGGTTCTCCCACATGGTGGCAAAGAGGGATCTGACAGCTCTTAGCATGCATGGTTTTTAGAACTTATGCCTGCAGAAAGAGAGGTGTTTCCCTCCTGAGAGGTTTACCATCATCCTAGGATCCTTCATTGACCTAGCTTGAGTCATAAGCCCAGGGGGTACCCTAATGACATGGCTTGCCCAGGAATATCTTGAAGAGATGAAAAGCTCATATCCACACACAGTTTGGTTCCTTGCTTTTTTCAATTAACTTTATATTTAGGCCAGTAGATACGCTTCCAACAATATCATTTAGAATGATTGCTTTTTAGTCCTATGTGTGGATGTACCATTATTCATTTAGTTAAATACCTATTGTTGAACAGTTAGCTAGTTCCGATTTTTCACTGCAACAATCAGCACAGTATGCCTTTCAACTAAACCTTTGCCAACATCTACTACATATTATTTCTAGACATGGAATTGTAAAGTCAAAAGACAAGTGTGTTTTTAATGCTTATAATGCTGTTTGTCAAGTTGTCTTCAAGAAAAGTTGTAAGAATTTATACTCCCACCTACGTGATTTAAGATGGCTGATCTCCACTTGTCCATACCTATACTAGGTATTAACACTTGAAAAACAAAATATGTGCCAAACAAACTAAATAATATTGTGTGGTTTTGATTTGCCTCTTTTTTTTTTTTTTTTTTTTTTGAGACTGAGTCTTGCTCTGTCACACAGGCTGGAATGCAGTGGCGTGATCTCAGCTCCCTGCAACTTCTGCCTCCTGGGTTCAAGCGATTCTCCTGCCTCAGCCTCCCGAGTAGCTGGGACTACAGGTGCATGCTACCACTCCTGGCTAATTTTTTGTATTTTTAGTAGAGATGGGGTTTCACCATGTTAGCCAGGATGGTCTCAATCTCCTGACCTTGTGATCTGCCTGCCTTGGCCTCCAAAAGTGCTGGGATTACAGGTGTGAGCCACCGTACTCGGCCACTTTTCTTTTATTGCTAGTGAGGCTCAATGAATTTCAATTCCTTCCGTACAAATTGTATTTCCTAATAGAGAAGCAAAACACTGGTTAGAGAGAACTGGCTCAAGGCTCACAGGCCCAGTCCTGAGAGACAACAGGGAGTAACAAGTGTTCTAATTATAGTGATCATTTAAATAATAGTAGCTGCCACTTATAGAGCATCTACTATATCAAGCATTGTGTCCATTCCCATCCACTCATCATTGTGTTTCACTTCCTCGGATGCCATCCATTCAGGTTCCCTTTTGCAGATGGACAGCGTTGCTCAGACCCCAGCTTTATGGCTATAAAGTCCTCTCCATGATTTCTGCAAAGGGATTTTCTTTACTGTGTCCTCTGCAGGAATGTCTCTGTTACATCCCTATCTACTCAGCCTCTTCCCTTATCTGTCCAGGAACTCCACCCACACTGAGCATTTTGTGAGTTTTGTCAACTTGATTAAACTCTTGGGAGCTGCAGTAAGTAGGCAAGAGGCTTACACACACTGTCTGACCAATGTCATTCTTCCCCGTTGCCTCCCTCTCTCTCATGAGCAACATACATTCCCCTCGCCATCTGCACAGCAGCATGGGAATCACCTTTGGTGGTTTTATTCCCTGAAAGGGTTGGGTGCATGTCTCTCACCCTCCACAAGCTTATCAAAGTATTTTTTCCAAACATAGGGGGAAAAAAAAGAGAAAACAAAATGTTCTCTCTGGCTTTTAACATCTATAAATAAGGTAGGGTGCTAATGCTGCTCCATTTTGTAGATGAGAAAACTGAGGCTGGCAGAAATAAGACAATTTATCCAAGGTCCTAAGAACTTCTAAAGGATGCTGCCCTGGCAACAAGAACTACCTACTTGCCCTAAACGTGCAGTTCATCTTCTTGCCCCCCTGCCTTCTCTCCTGCTGTTTCCCTGCTGCTCACTGACTGCACCACAGTCTCCATTATCTCAATTTCTGCTGCACAAAAAGACCATATCCTCATCCTTCAACCCAGGAAACAGAGCTCAGCATATAAGGGTCGGAGAGGTCAGTCACACACACACACACACACACACACACACATATCGTCATCATGGAATGTAAGGCAGTTGTGACCTTAAGACCTTACCCTCCAGCATCTCCAGCACTCAGTCTTGAGAACACGGAGACCTGGGGAAGCTCTGGAGTGGGGCACAGCTGCCTGGGCCATGGGTAGAGATCAGCTTGTACCAAGGCTGATGACTGACTCATTCACCCAGACACGTTTCCATTTTCTCAGCTCAGGCAGCTCCTAATGCAAAGCTGAAAATTCTCCTCTGCCTCATTGTGTGCCTGCTCTTGGAGGCGGGGTCTTTGGGTAGGTTTCTGAAGAGCAATTATGCTTATTACTGGTTAGGATTTCAGAAACCTTCTCTGTTTGCTGAGTGCATTAATTCTCAGCTCTTTCCATCACTCATTTTTCCTGACAGCCCCATTTTGCAGGTGTAAATGTGCAGATGGAGAGCAATGGAGAAAGCCTGTACAAAAAAACCAAAGATGGGGAAGAGAGAGTCAAGGATGGAAAGAGAGATTCCTAAGGACATTATTGGTGTCCGTGGCGTTCCCAAGGCATCACTGTGGACGCCTCAATTACGTGAACCAATACATTTCCTCCTTTCCTTAAACCAATTTGAGGCGAATATCTCTCATATGCAATCATAAGGCTTCTGACTACTATGCCTCTTAGATGTGGCATGTTTAAAAACAAAACAAAAATGTTTTTATTGCATTTTAATTTGTTTTTACAAAATATAGACTCATTTTAAAACTGAAACCCTGTAAAACTGTATATGCTATGGATTTACAGCTAAGCATAACCAGTGAAACACAGTTACCTCTGTGCCCCTCCACACTCTCACTATAATTTAAGAGATCAAAGAGATGACCCACAGGATAAGGAGAAGGATAGAGAAGGCAACAGCAATGAAACCTTAGTGATGCTATGCAGCAAATGGACCAATGGAAACTGACTTAGCAGATCTAAGAAAGCTGAAACCTATGCAGGCAGTATAGAACCAGAAAATTCATCTAATTTATGCTATGGATCCCCACAAAGCTCAGGAATTGGCAATGTGCTGTGCCTCTTAAAAAAAGGTACAGTTGAAGCAAGAGGCTCTGGCCTTGAGGTGTTCCATCCCAAAACAGGGAAAGAGCTGAGTTACGTGAAAGGTATCACTTAAAGGCTGAGGCCTCATTCTCCTCTCTACTGTGACAGACTCAGGCTTTTACCCCACCAGTCGGAAAGATTCCACTCTGGGGAAAATGAGCAGCCCCGGAGAGAAGACCCAGAGATACTCATAGCTAGGGCTTACCCTGAGCAAATAGCCCAGCTATTATAGATTAGGTCTTTCTCAGCCAACACCTCTCTCTTACGTATTTATTAATATGTACAGTAGCTCAAAAAGAAGGAAGGTTGTAATTGCATGCACGGTTCTGCCACTTGCTTTTTAAATTTAATTATGTACTATGGGTACATCCATATCTATCCATGTCAGTAATTAGGTGCAGTGGAGTTATATGTATGAAGAATAGGATTTTCACACTGTTTCCAAGTATCAACCTAAGGGTTATTTATTTACAGAGGTGGGAGGGTCCAGATCTGATGACCACTGCTTAGCCAAGGGATTGAATTTAGCATCACCAGTGAGGGACAAGGGACAAACTGATACGACATGCCTTTCTGTGTGAGGTGCTAACAAGGACATGACATCACTCCAGAGCCATTGCCACCAATCTAATCAGGAAGAAGCAATCAGATGGATCCAAAGCATGAGATATTCTCCTCGACTCTTCAAATATGTTAGTGTTATGGGGACGGGGGGCACTGGGAAAAGGCTATGGAACTGCTCTAGGTTGAAGGCAACTACAGAGATATGACATCTAATTGTAGGGCGTGGTCCTGGGTTGAATCCTAGATGGGAAAGAAACTAGCTGAAAAGGACATTTGGGAGACAGTTGGGAAAATTTGAGTATAGAATGTGGATTCAAATATAGAATGTAGCGAATGTATGGTATTAGCCTTGAATTTCCTGAGTATGGTGCAAATGTGACAAAATGTTGAAGGACTGGTGAATCTGGGTGAAGGATATATGGGTATTCATTGAACTTGTCTTGAACTTTTCTGAGGTTTATTTTTTTAAAAAATAAAAAGCTAGGAAAGAAGAGAGTTGGCCTCTGAAATGTGCTCCACCCAAACCATTTGGGCAGGTGACTCAACTTCTCCAAGTGTCATTTCTTCCTCTGTAAAAGGGAGATAATAATAGAACCTACCTCATGAGGCTGTTGACTTAAATGAAATAATGCCTGCAAAGTGCGTATCATAGTTCCTAGTAAATGTTAACTGTCATTATCATCTGCCTCACTCTCTTTAATGGATGTATAATTCCATTGTCTTCAGTTTCTCTTCATTTGGCAGCAAAAGTCATCACCCAGCTAATGAGCTCTGTGGTTTTCTCGTCAGTGCAAGACAAGGTGGTCACAATTTGTGCTGTCTGCTACTGCTTGGAGCAAAAAGAGGTCTTGCTCTGACTGTTGACTTTGGATGCCTGACTGTGGACACCTGTGGTTTAGAGCCCCTTTCCCTACCTCCCTAGGGAAACAGAACCCCTTTCTCTGTGTGTGGAACACATTAAATGTGGTTCTCCACCACCACAGTGGTAGCTACTCACCCAGACCTGGACAAAGTTCTCTTTTTGCCTGGCCATAGTGGTTACTTTAAGGATAAGCATCATCTCAGACAGTCATCTCTGGGAGATATTTGCCAGCACAATCTGGAATACCCATGATGAACCAGAAATACACAAGTAGGTGAAGGCTAGTCCTGGTCCCAGGGAATCCTTGGGCCTAGAAAGGGGAGACAGACAATATGCAGATCCAACTCCCCAGGACTCCAAATCCCAAAAGTACTCCAAAAGAATCAATACTTTTTCACCTCTCTGTCACCTTCAAATGAGGCACCAAAATTGAACTTCTCAGAAACTTGCTTTATCTGCAAGGGCAAAGATTTAAGGTTCACTCTGAAACACCTGGAGGAGCAATTTTCTTCCAATTACCACTGGTTTCTCATCAACACCATTCCTCCTGGGGGCCATTTATAGAGGGGAGATAGTACCAGATGATAATGTCAGGGAACCGGCACTATTAAATAACTTCTGGAAATCCCCAAGGTTTAATGATAATTCTGTTCCTTTTAACTCCTAACTTCTTCCTCTTCTTTTTTTAAGCACTCTCCAGTTATTTCGTTTTATTGTGTTTAGGCCATCCTTTGACGCAAATAGGACGAATATAGTCATATCCATCTCTCTAATCGCAGAGGGTGGTTCAGTTCACAGAGGAGAGCAGTCTCTAGCATCAGACTGCCTGCATTCCCTCTTGGCTCTGTCAATGAGCAGATTTGTAACCAGTGACTCTGCATCTCTAGGCTTCAGTTCCCTCATCTGTAAAATGGGGGTAAAAAGTACCTACCGCATAACGCTGTGGTAAGACCAAGATAAAATAATGAATGCAATGCAAGACCTGGCACATAGTAAGTGCTCAATAAGTATCAGCTTTATTATTATTATAGACAGTCCAGGGGTGAAATGTAGACAAACAATTACAAAGAGCTGCTAGGTAGAAGCACAGCACTAGACACCGAGGCAGATCCAAAGAAAATTGTCCCTGCTCTCAAGGCTCTCACAACTAAGTTGGGGAAAGAGAAAAAATGCAGGGGTAAACAAAACAAAAATGAAAGCAATTAGAAAAGAGTCCCCTGTAAGGGATGTTCAAGGTGACTTCAATAGTTAGACACACAGTAGAGGCATTTGGGTGAAATCCGCAAGGCAAGGACAGCAACCAGTTCATCTC